>NC_000002.12:192641133-192944163 GCF_000001405.40 Homo sapiens | reverse complement strand
TTGCCATAGTCCTCACCTTTAGTTCCAAATCCCTAGCTCAGAGATTTTCCTTGGTGAAATGAGGGGGCGAGAAAAAAAAAAAAACCACCACCACCACCACATAAAAGAGATAGCTCCTACTTTCTTCTGAAAGTAGTTGACCCCATTTGCAGCAGAGAGTAAAGAATTTCAAATCTGAAGTTGTTCTCAAGAACAGTGAGGCTGTAATAAAAGGAATTTAAGAGTGACCCAAGATGCAGACTAAACTATAGGCCAATTAGTTTGCAGAGGAGACCTGGAATAAGACAGCTGGGAAGAGTGCTCCTGGATCAGAACAAAAATAAAGTAGTGACTTCAATTATTCCTTAAAAGTAATGAGAATTTGATTGGATTCATCTATAGAGTAATTTATACTCCAGGGAATTGTTAAAAAATAATAAAAGAATCAACCAGCACAATCTAAGAGCTAGGTGTGAACAAGGGAGAGAGCCTTACTAAAAATACTGTCATCTTAGTCCAGATGACTACATTGCCCTTCCCGTTGACAACATCTAAGACTCAAACTACATGTGTGTAGAGCAGTTGTGCTGGAGAGAGACCTCACTAAAATACTCCACAAACTCAGTCACTTCACATATAAACCATAAAATAATACTTGTAAACACAAAGGGGAAGGAAGACCAGTATGTAGTGTTAATACAATATACTATCTAAAATGATCAATTAAAAAATATTAGGCATTCAAAGGAACAAGAAAATATTACTCAAACACCAGAGGAGAAACACAGATGAAACAAAATCTGTCTATGAGAGAGATCAGATGTCAGATCTATCAGAAGAAGACTTAAATTAACCCTTATAATTATAAAGAAACCATGATTAAAGAAGTAAATAATAATATGACAGCATACCAAATAGAGACTATCAGTAAAGAGACAGAAGTTATAAAGAAGACTCAAATGAAAATTATGGAATTGAAAAGTTAATTTACTGAAATTAAAAATAAAAATCACAATAATGGCTCAATAGTATGTGTGAAATAGCAGAAGAGTAAGCTAACAAACATAGATTGATAGAAATCATATAAGCAGAAAACCAAGAAAGAATAAAGAAAAATAAAGAGAGCCACAGAGAAACATGGGATGATATTGAACGCCCTAACATACATGTAATGAAGGAACCAGAAAGAAAAGGGGGGGGGGGGAAGAGAAGAAAAAATATCAGAAAATATAATGGCTGAAAACCACCTCACTATGATTTTAAAAAACAAAAATATTAATATACACATCTAATGAACTTAGTAAACTCCAAGGAGAATAAACACAAAGAGATTTAAAACAGACACAGCACACTAGAAATGCTGAAAGTCAAAGACAAGAAAAAATCATAAAGGCAGCAAAAATATAAATGACTGTTAACTTTCAAAACAACCTCAATAAGATTAACAGTTGAGTTCTTAACAGAAATAATGGAAGCAGAAAGAACTGGGATAAAATATTCAATGGCACAAAGAATAAAACTGCCAAACAGGAGTTAAGAATTTAACATGCAGCAAAGCTCTCTTTTAAAAATAAAGACAAATACATACTTTTTCAGATTAAAAAAGAAAATAAACAAACTCCTAAAGAAAGAAACAAACTCCAGAAGTAATAAAACTGAGAAAGTATGTTGCAACCAGACTCACAAAAAATACTAAAGAAATTTTTCAGGCTGAAAGAAAATGATTCCATATAGCAATTTGAATTGAATCCTTTTTTTTTTTCCAAAAAAAAAAGCACTGGTAAAGGTAATTACATATTTTAAAGACAGTAGAAAAGCATTTTTTATTGTCTCCTCCAATTTAAAGCTGTTAGATAAAATAATGTGGATATAATATATTATAATATGTGGATATAATATATTATTGGGCCTATGAAATATAAAAATGTAATATATATGTAACATGTTTGTCAACAGTAGCACACAGGAGGTGAGTGAGAATAGTGCTGCATTTGGGCTAAGGAAATGATTATAGATTAAATAATTATAATATATTTGCTGGCTTTATAACATTAATATATGTAATATATATGAAAATAATAACAAAAAAGATAAAAGAGATAGAGCTACATAGAAGTAACATTTCTATTTATCACTAGAATTAAGCTATTACAAATCAGAAACTGATTTAGTAAGTTAAGAAGTATATGGTGAACCCTAGAGCAACTAATAAAAATATAACATAATAAGCAGAATCAATAAACAAATTAAAATATTACATTAGAAAATATTCATTTGTTGCAAAAGAAAACAGTAAAAAAAAGAAATGGAAGGAATAAACAAGACATGAGGCCTATAAAAATTTTGAATATTAAAATGGCAAACATAAATCAAACCATATTAAGTGTGAATGGATTAAATACTCCAATCAAATGCAGAAATTATCAGACTAGATAAAATACATGATCCACCTATATTCTACCTATAAATTTACTTTAGATTTAAAAACAACAAACAAGTTGAAAGTTAAAAACAGTGCAAATAGCAACCAAAAGAAAGCTGGAGAGGCTTTCTTTACTAATATCAAGGAAAATAAATTTTAAAACAAAAATAAAATGATATTAGATATAAAGAGGGAAAGTTTGCAATGATAAAAGATTCAATCCATTAGAAGAATATTACAATTATAAACCTATATGCACCTAATATAAGAACACCAAAATATATGAAACAAAAACTGACAGAAATGAAGGGAGAAACAGTTTTACAATAATTATTGGGGAATTCAATATCTCACCTCGATAATGGACAGAAAAAAAAGGTCAACAGAGTAATGGGACATTTTAACGATGTGTACACCAACTAGATATAAGAGATATCCATATGTTAGAGTAGGCAGGTAGCCAGACATAAGCAGGAGAAGAGACCCTTTAAGCAAGGGAAGATCTGAAATATTTTACACACCAGGGAACACCTGAAATAGGCATGCTAGATATAAGCAGGTAAGAGAGGAGGTACTCAGGCAAAATGAAACGTCCATTAAGATGCCTAGTAATCATTCATTCTGCAGTTAACCCCTCAGAATATAGCTAGGTACATGCTGATAAAAGGGAAAATAAGAAAGTCCTCAGAGAAATCTGGCACCAAAATACAAATCAGAACATAGAAATGGCAAGGAGATACACAGGCGTAACAGGTACAGATTTAAGCACTATATGACCTTCCTGGGGTGGCAGTAAGGAGCAATGCTGCCATTAGGCAGAATTCCTGTTGATCACTGGCCTGCATATACATCTTAACTAATAGTAAGTGAAAGTCTCACAAACCTGGGGTGGGAACTAGGCAGGGACAAGGTGGATACCTAAGGAAGGAATAGAATAACTTGACAAAGAAAAGAGGCAGAGACTTGAGACAGAAGCAGGAACTTCCCAAAATAGTCCAACATAATAAAAAGCCAAGACAGAATTATTAATCTCCTGCTGGCTCACTTCAGCACCCCACTGTGCTTCATCTTTGCAGAGAGTGCTGTTTCTCTAAATAAACACTCTGCTCCCTATTTCCTTTCACTAAAGATCTCTGTTATCTCAGCCTATGGCCTCACTGAAATCTTTCTCCCGGGTTCAACAAGAACCGGACTATCTACTCTCTTGGGTAACACGTAGAACTCTCCATCCAATGATAGTAGAAGATACACTCTTCTCAAGTGTGCATGAAATGTTTTCTAGAATGGAACATATTAAAAATTATGAAATAAATTTAAATACATAGAAAATAATAGAAACAATGCAAAATATGTTATCTGATCATAATGGAATAAAATCAGACATCAATAGGAAAAATTTGAGATACTCACAAATATGTAGAAATTTAAAAAACATTTCTAAACAATCAATGAGTTAAAGAATAAATTGAAAGGAATATATGATTACTTTTGGATAAATTAGTGTATAGATATATCAAAACTTCTGGGATTTAGCTAAAGAATTATTAAGTGTGAAACATATAGCTATAACTTCCTATATTAAGAAAGAATAAAGTCAATTAATATCCTAACCTTCTACCATAAGCCCTGGGGAAAAAAAATAGGAAACTAAACTCATAGAAACATAAGGAAGGAAATAATAAGGAATCACATGGAAATTAATAAATTAAAGAACAGGAAAAAATGCAATGAGACCAAAACTAATTTATTTAAAAGATCGATAAAATTGACAAATCTTTACCAGATTGATCAAGCACAAAAGAAATAACTCAAATTACTAGAATCAAAAATGAAGAATAGAACATTCCTGCTTTCCTACAGAAATATAAAGAAAAATTATGAAAGAATACTATGAACAATTTTATACCAACACTTTAGATAACATATGAAATGGACAATTTTCTGGAAACACAAGCTACCAAAACTGACCCAAGAAGTAAGATAATCCAACGTTAATTATAACAAGTGAAGAAATTTAAGTAGTATTGAAAAAAATTACCCACGAAGAAAAGCCTCGGCTCAGACAGCTTCACTGCTGAAACCCACTTGACTTCACTACTGAGTTCTCCCAAGCATTTGATGAATTAATAGCCAATTCTTTAAAAAATTTTCCAAAAACAAAAGTTGAAACACTTTCCAACTCATTCCATGAAGTTACTATTATCCTGACACCAAAATCAAACACATCATAAGAAAAGTACAGAACATTGCCTCTTTTTACTCTTTACAAAAAATGCCACAAAATACTAGCACAATGAATCCAACAACAAAAATAATTATGTAACATTAGCAAGTGGGATTTATTCCAGGAATTCAAGGCTGGTTCTACATCTGAGAACTGATTAATGTAATTTATCACCTCAATGGGAAAAAATTACATGATAATCTCCATAGATGCAGAAAAAGCATTTGATAATCATGTGATATTCAACAAACTAAGCATAGAAAGGAAACTCTTAAATAAAATCAGAGACATCCACAAAAGCCCGCAGTTAACATACTAATAATAAAAGATAGGATTCTTCTTCCCTTAAGATCAGGAATGAGATAAGAATGTTTACTCCTACCACTTACATTTATATTATATTAGAGGATTTAGTCTGGGCATTTAGTTAACAAAATGAAATAAAAGGCATTCAGATTGGAAAAGAAGGAGTAAAAATGACACTATTCTCAGATGACATGATTCTTTTTTTTTTTTTGGCATGGCATTTTATATAAGAGACAAACCTATTACAAATAAACTCTAAACAAGATATTCAACAACACTGATGACCACAAAATGAAAAGACTGCAATGACATATCATTTATATCTCACTGAACATGCAAAAATTAAAACTTCAGAGAGAAATGGTAGGAATTAAATAGATCCGCAACTTATACATTGCATCTGTTGTATTTGGTACAGACATGATTCTTATACAAAACATCTTAAAGAGAAGGAAGCAGAACAAGAAGTCTACATAGAAGCCTTCAAGGATTCTTCTCTCCGCAGGAACACCAAATCTAAAAACCATGTACAATAAAAAAGGCATCTTCATAAGAACCAAACAACAGGTGTGAGACCACAATACCTAGTTTTAACTTTATATCAGTGAAAGAGGCACTGAAGAAGGTAGAAAAGACAGTGTTGATTTCCTGACACCACCCCTTTCCCATACACTGTTAGCAGCTATATAGCATGGAGAAAGAATCTGTGCACTTGGAGAAGGGAGAGTGCAGTGACTGAGGGACTTTGTATTGAAATTCAGTGCCACCAACACCCAGCAGGATTTATCACCTACTGACTAAAGTGCCTTTGGGCCCTGAATAATCAGCATAGGTAACCAGGTAGCTCATGCTCTTGACCTTGATTGAGACCCTGAGACATACTGGCTATAGCTGTGTCCCAGCATATTCACAAATGTGGTGGTTATGGAGAGAGATCACTTCTGCTTGAGAAAAGGAGAAAAAAGAATAGAGGAGACTTTGTCTTGCAGCTTAGCTACCAGCTCAGCCACAGTGGATAAGAGCACACAAAGTTGGCTCTTGGGGTACCTCATTCCAGGACTTCATCTTGGATGGCATGCCTGAACCTGCCCTTGGCCAGAGGGGAGCCCACTGCCCTGAAAGGAAAGTCTCAAGCCTGAAAGCATTCACCACAAGCTGACTAAAAGCACTTGGGTCTTTCATCAGCAGTAGCTAGGCAGTACTCCCTGTGTGCTTTTGGTAGTGGTGGACATGGGGAGTGGCTCTTCTGACTTGGAAAAAGAGAAGAAATGAGAGCAAGGATTTTTATTTTGTGGTTTCAGTGCCAGTTTAGCTGCTGTAGAATAGAGCACCCTGTGCCCCCATGACCCAGGGGATCTTGCCACCCTGAAGGGAAAGACCCAAGTTAGGCTACCTGCTGATTGTAGAGCTTAGGGCCTTGAGTAAACATAGGTGGTAGCAAGGTCATGGTTACAGTGGGCCTTGGGTAAGACCAGTGCAGTGCTGGATTCATGTCTGACCCAGCAAAGTCCCAGTGGTAGTGGTAGTGAGTTGGAGTGCTTTTGTCACCCCTACCCCAGCACCAGGTAACTCAACAAAGAGAGAGAAAGAGAGAGAGAGAGAGCAAGCATTTGTTTGGAAGAAATTAAGGGAAGAGAACAAGAATCTCTGCCTGGTAATCTAGAAAATTCTTCCAGATGTTATTCGACACCATCAAGGTGATATCTTTATGGTGCTGCAAGAACTACAACATTACTAAGCTTAAGGCACCCCCTAATGCAGATATGTTTGCAGTGACTAAAAACTTGTGATGCAACACCTAAATCCCTTTGAATATCTCGAAAGCCTTCCAAAGAAGGAAAGGTATGAACAAGCCTAGATTGTGAAGACTACAATAAATAGCTAACTCTTGAATGCAATGCCCAGACACTGAGAAATCCATAGACATCAAGACCATCCAATGACCTCACCAAATGAACTAAATAAGACACAATGAGCCAATCCCAGAGACTCAAGTATATGTGACATATCAGGCAGAGAACTCAAAATGGCTGTTTTGAGAAAACTCAAATAAATTTGGAATCCTATCAGATAAGTTTAACAAATGAGACTGAAATGATTAAAGAGATTCTAGTAGAAATTCTGGAGTTGAAAAATGCAATTAACATACCAAAGAATGCATCAGAGTCTCTCAATAACAGAATTGATCAAGCAGAAGAAAGAATTAGGGAGCTTGAAGGTAGGTTATATGAAAATACACAGTCAGAGGAGAAAAAAGAAAAAAGAATTAAAAAGAAAGACGCACATCTTCAAGATCTAGAAAATAGCCTTAAAGGGCAGATCTAAGAGTTACTGGCCTTACAAAAGGAATAGAGAGAGAGATAGGGGTAGAAAGCTTATTCAAAGGGATAATAACAGAGAACTTCCCAAACCTAGAGAAATATATCAATATCCAAGTACAAGAAGGCTATAAAACACCAAGCAGATTTAACCTAGGTAAGACTACCTCAAGTCATTTAATAATCAAACTCCCAAAGGCCAAGGATAAAAAAGTACTTAAAATAAATAACATACAACACAGTTCCAATACGTCTGGCAGCAGAATTTTCAGTGGCAACCTCACAGGCCATGTGAAAGAGGCATGAGATATTTAAAGTGCTGAAAGAAAAAACTTATTGTAGAATAAACCAAGAATATCTTTCTAACATGAAGGAAAAATAAAGACTTTCCCAGGTGAACACAAGGTGAGGAATTTTATCAACATCAAATCTATACTACAAGAATGCTAAAGGGAGTTTTTCAATCTAAAAGAAAGTGTTGTTAATGAGCAAAAACAAATCAACTGAAGGTATAAAACTCACTGATAATAGTAGATACACAAAAACATAGAATATTATAACACTATAATTGTGGCATGCAAATTACTTGTATCTTAAGTAGAAAAAATGAAAAGATAAACCAATAAAAAAGAATAACTACAACAACTTTTCAAGACATGGACATTACATAAAGATAGAAAGACAAACAAAAAAGTTAAAAGGTAGAGGAATAAAGGTAAACTATAGCATCTTTATTAATTTTCCTTCTGCTTATTTTGTTTATTATGCTATCAGTGTTGTCGTCAGTTCAAAATAAGATATGAGATATTATCTGCAAGCCTTTTATTAGACTTAAATCTAAAAAGATACAATAGATAAACAAGAATTAAAGACAAAAAATTAAACATATCACTAGAGAAAATTATCTTTACTAACAAGAGAACAGGAACAGAAGACCACAAAATAACTAGAAAGAAATGACAAAATGTTAGGAATAATTTTTTATGTATTAATAATAATATTGAATGTAAATGAATTAAACTCTCCAGTCAAAAGACACAGAGGGGACAAATGAATTAAAAAAAAAAAGTCTCACAATCTATTGCGTACAAGAAACACACTTAACTTATAAAGACATACATAAACTGAAAATAGAGGGATGGAAAAAATATTCCTTGCAAATGGAAATCAAAAAAGAGCAGAAGTAGCTATATTCATATTAGACAAAATAGATTTCAAAACAACAGCTATACAAAGAGATAAAGAAGGGCATTATATAATGACAAAGGGGTAAAATCAGCAAGAGGATATAACAATCATAAACATGTATGCATACAACACTGCAGCACCCAGATATACAAAACCAATTTTATTAGAGTAAAAATGAGAGAGAAAGACTCCCCTACAATAAGAGCTGAAGACTTCAACACCTCACTTTCATCTTTGGACAGATATTTAGACAGAAAATCAACAAAGAAACATCAGACTTTATCTACACTACAATACAAATGGACGTAATAGATATTTATAGTACATTTCATTCTACAGATGCTGAATACACACTCTGAAACCCTTTAACATCAGGAATGCAACAAGGATGCCTACTTTCACCACTGTTATTCAACATAGTACTGGAAATCTTAGCTAAAGCAATCATACAAGAGAAAGAAAGAAATAAGGGAGATTATTCTTGCTTTCAGATGATACGCTCTTAGTTTTGGAAAAATCTTGACTCCACCAAAAAATATTAGAACTGACAAATTAAAGGTTGCCGAATACAAATCAGCATACAAAAAACAGTAGCATTTTTGTCTAACAGTGAACAATCTGAAAAAGAAATAAAAAATGAATTCCATTTATAATAGCTACAAATAAAACAAAATAATTAGTAGTTAATGTAGCCAAAGTAGTGAAAGATCTCTACAATAAAGCTATACAATATTAGTGAAAGAATATGAAGAGAAAAAAAAGCAAGATATACCATGTTCATGTATTGGAAGAATCAATATTGTTAAAATGTCTGTACTACTCAAAGCAGTCTACAGATGCAATGAAGTTTCTATCAAAATACCAATGACATTCTTCTCAGAAATAGAAAAGCAATCCTAAAATTTAAATGGAACTACAGAAGACCCAGAATAACCAAAGCTGTCCTGGAAACAAAGCACAAAACTGGAAGAATCGCTTTACCTGCCTTCAAATTGTACTACAGAGCTATGGTAATTCAAAGAGCATGGTACTAGCATAAAGACAGACACATAGACAAATGGAACAGAATAAAAACACAGAAATGAATGCAGATATCTACAGTGAACACATTTTTGACAAAGGTGGCAAGAACATACACATTGGGGAAACAGTCTCATCAATAAATTGTGCTGGGAAACATAAATATCCTCAAGCAGAAGAAAGAAGCTAAAACTTATCTCACTATATACAAGAATCAAATCAAAATGAATTGAAGATATAATTATAAGACTTCAGACTATGAAACTACTAAAAGAAAACATTGCTGAAACTCTCCAGGATGTTGGACTGGACAAAGATTTTTGAGCAATACCCTACAAATGGGCAACCAAAGCAAAAATGGACACATGAGATCACATCAAGTTAAGAAGCTTCTGCACAAAAAAGAAACAATCAACAAAGTAAAGAGACAAACCACACAACGGAAGAAGTTATTTGCAAACTACACATCTGACAAGAGATTAATAGCCAGAATATTTAAGGAGCTCAAAAAACTTCATAGAAAAAAAAAACCTCTACTGATCCAACTTAAAAATATGGGCATTTTTTAAAAGAAGACATACAAATGGCAAGCAGATATATGAAAAGGTGTTCAACATCCTTGATCATCAAAGAATGCAAATCAAAACTACAATGAGATGTCACCTCATTCCAATTAAAATGGCTTATATTCAAAGGACAGGTAATAACAAATGCTGCCAAGATACAGAGAAAAGGGAAACCTAGTACATTGTTGGTTGGAATGCAAATCAGTACAACCACTGGTTTGGAGGTTCCTCAAATTCTAAAAATAAAGCTACCATATGATCCAGCAATCCCACTGCTAAGTATATACCCAAAAGAAAGAAATTCAATATATCAAAGAGATATCTGCTCTCCCATATTTATTATAACACTATTTACAATAGCCAAGATTTGGAAGCAATCTAAATGTTCATCAACAGACTAATGGATAAAGAAAACATGATATACACAATGGGGTATTATTCAGCCATAAAAAAATGATGTCCTGTGGTTTGCCCAACATGGATGGAACTGGAGGTTCTTATATTAAGTGAAGTAAATAGGCACAGAAAGAGACCTTTCACATGTTTTCACTGATTTGTGGGTGCTAAAATAAAAACAACTGAACTCACAGAGATTTAGAGTATAATGATGGTTATCAGAAGCAAGCAAGGGTAATGAGAGGTGGAGTGTGGATGGTTAATGGATCCAAAAATAATAGAATGAATAAGATCTACTAATTGATAGCAGAACAGGGTGACTACAGTCAACAATAATTTATTGTATATCTAAAAATTAATAAAATATTAGCATTGTACTGTCAGTAACACAAAAAAAGATAAAGGCTTGAGTAGATGAATACTCAATTTACCCTGATATGATTATTAGATATTGTATGTGTTTGTCAAAATATTTCATGTTCCCCATAAATATATACACCTACCATGTACACACAAACATTAAAAATAAAACATTTTTTAAAAGACCTAGATGTAAGTGGTAAAATATAAAATATTCATGAGAAAAGATTAAAGATTGGGATAAATCTTCATGACCTTGTATTCAGCAAAGGATTCTTATATATGACATCCAAAGGATGGGCAACCGAAGAAAATATATGTTAATTTAACTTCATAAAAATTTTAAAATTTTAAACTTTAGTGTTTCTAGTACACCATTTAAAAAGTAAAAACAAAACTAAACAACACACAGAATGGAGAAAATATATGAAAAGAATATATCTAATAAAGGACTTGCATCCAGAATAAAGTTCTCACAGCTCAATAATAAAATGACAAATAACCTGATTAAACTATGAGAAAAAGACCTGAACTGATACTGTTTCAAGAAAGATATACTAATGGCTAAAAAGCAAAAAATAAATAAATAAATAAAAAGATGTCTGACATCATTATTTACTAGGAAAATCCAAATCAAAACCACAATAAGATACTACTTCACATCCACTAGAATAAAAAAATCAGACATTAGGAAGTGTCAGTAAGGATTTGGAAAATTCTAAACATGTATATGCTGCTTTTGGGAATATAAAATGATGCAGCAGCTTCGGAATAAACTGACAGTTCATGAAACAATTGAACATAGAGTTACCAGATGGCCCAGTAATGTTGGCACTAGATATATACCCAAGAGAAATAAAAACATATGTTTACACAAAAGTTTCTACACAAATGTTCATAGTAGTATTATTCATAATAGGGAAAAGATAGAAACAAGCCATCAACTGAGAAATTGATAAACAAAATGTGACTACAGTATCTTTTTATTCTTGGAAACCACAAGGAGCAACCACGGTCTGGTGCAGCCTTTTCTCTTATAGAAGGTTGGAAACTGATGACAGACTAGAAGAATACACAAAGTCTCTCAAAGCTTCTGATTGGAACAAACACACCATCATTTCCATACACATTCCAATAGTAAAATAGCAATGACCAAGTCATTGATGGAGCAGGAATATCTTCTCTAGTTTATCTACTGGTAGGGTACTATGAAGTCATTTGGCAAAAGGTGTGGATATATAACTTAATTAAAGAAAGGAGAGAATAGTTGTGAACAAGAATCCAACCTGGCATGGTACAAATTGTAACTCTAGGCATCTCCAAGCTCTTTTTTCTAGAATTTAACTTTTTCTCCTTCCACAGGCTGTAATTTAAACATGGATGTAATCTAGACTCAGTTATACAGTTCATGATGATGAATTTAGAGAAGTTAGAGCCAGTGAACAGAAAGGACCTGGGTCCTGCCCAGCATTACTTCTTTCAGGAGAGCTGAACAGTGAGCCTAGGCTTTGGTACTCTTATTGGAGAGAAAATTTACAGCTATGTTATTAAAGCTTTTGTATTTTGAGATCTCTTACAGTATACTAAATTTAATTCATACAAACAATAAAAATCTTATAGTGGCTGGTCATATTGTAAGTAACACAAATAAATTTAGTGCCATCAGATTTGTAGTCAAAACGCAGAATATATTAGATAAAATATATCAGTAAATACAGATTTTTAAAAATCTCTGAGTCTGTAACAATGAAAATTAAATTTGCTACATAATTAGTTACAGGTATAATTAGTATAGCCAAAATCAAAGTTTAGAGTGCAACAACAGAGACTTAAGTAATCTGTAGAGTCAAGAAGGATCTCTCTGAATAAGTGATGCTTAAAATGAATCCTAAAGGAAGACTCATAATTATCCAGGTAGAGGGGTTGAGGGAGAAAGGTGTTTCAAATATGGGGAAGAACAAGTTGTTTAATGGCTCAGAAATAAGAGAGAACATTACATATTCAGGAAATAAAATGTGTCTTAATGGTTGGAGTTAAAAGAATGAGGAGAGAGGACAAAATATTAGAGCTGATCTTAGAAGTTTGAACTGAAGAAGATGGCCGAATAGGAACAGGTCTGGTCTGCAGCTCCCAGCGTGATCGATGCAGAAGATGGGTGATTTCTGCATTTCCAACTGAGGTACCTGGTTCATCTCACTGGAACCGGTTGGACAATGGCTGTAGCCCATGGAGGGCAAGCCAAGGCAGGGCGGGGCATTGCCTTACCCAGGAAGCACTAGGGATCATGGGATTTCCCTTTCCTAGCCAAAGGAAGCTGTGACAGATGGTACCTGGAAAAATGGAACACTCCTGCCTAAATACTGTGCTTTTCCCAAGGTCTTAGCAACTGGCAGACAAGGTGATTCTCTCTTTTGCCCAGCTCAGTGGCTCCCATGCCCACAGAGCCTTGCTCACTGCTAGAACAGCAGTCTGAGATCGATCTGTGAGATGGCAGCCTGGCTGGGGGAGGAGCGTCCACCATTGCTGAGGCTTGAGTAGGTAAACAAAGTGGCCAGGAAGCTCGAACTGAGTGGAGCCCACTGCAGCTCAACAAGGCCTACTGCCTCTAGACTCCATCTCTGTGAGCAGAGCATAGCTGAACAAAAGGCAGCAGAAACTTCTGCAGACTTAAACATGCCTGTCTGACAGCTCTGAAGAGAGCAGTGGTTCTCCCAGCACAGCATTTGAGCTCTGAGAATGGACAGACTGCCTCCGCAAGTGGGTCCCAGTAGGGGCTGACAGACACCTCATATAGGCAGCTGCCTCTCTGGGACAAAGCTTCCAGAGGAAGGATCAGGCAGCAATATTTGCTGTTCTGCAATATTTGTTGTTCTGGAGCCTCTGCTGGTAATACACAGGCAAACAGGTTCTGGAGTGGAACTCCAGCAAACTCCAACAGACCTGCAGCTGAGGGACCTGACTGTTAGAAGGAAAACTAACAAATAGAAAGGAATAGCATCAACATCAACAAAAAGATCATGTACACCAAAACCCCATCTGTAGGTCACCAACATTAAAGTCCAAAGGTAGGTAAAACCACAAAGATGGGGAGAAACAAGAGCAGAAAAGCTTAAAATTCTAAAAATCAGAGCACCTCTTCTCCTCCAAAGGATCGCAGCTCCTGGCCAGCAATAGAACAAAGCTGGATGGAGAATGACTTTGACCAGTTGACAGAAGTAGGCTTCAGAAGGTCAGTAATAACAAATTTCTCCGAGCTAAAGGAGGATGCTCGAACCCATCTCAAGGAAGCTAAAAACCTTGAAAAAAGATTAGACGAATGGCTAACTAGAATAAACAGTGTAGAGAAGACCTTAAATGACCTGATGGAGCTGAAAATCATGGCACAAGAACTTTGTGACGCATGCACAAGCTTCAATAGCTGATTCAATCAAGTGGAAGAAAGGGTATCAGTGATTGAAGATCAAATTAATGAAATAAAGCAAGAAGACAAGTTTAGAGAAAAAAGAGTGAAAAGAAATGAACAAAGCCTCCAAGAAATATGGGACTATGTGAAAAGACCAAATCTACATTTGACTGGTGTACATGAAAGTGATGGGGAGAATGGAACCAAGTTGAAAAACACTCTCCAGGATATTATCCAGGAGAATTTCCCCAACATAGCAAGACAGGCCAACATTTAAATTCAGGAAATACAGACAACACCACAAAGATACTCCTCGAAAAGAGCAACCCCAAGACATATACTAGTCAGATTCACCATGGTTGAAATGAAGGAAAAAGTGTCAAGGGCAGCCAGAGAGAAAGGTCGAGTTACCGACAAAGGGAAGCCCATCAGACTAATAGCGGATCTCTCAGCAGAAACCCTACAACCCAGAAGAGAGTGGGGGACAATACTCAACATTCTTAAAGAAAATAATTTTCAACCCAGAATTTCATATCCAGCCAAACTAAGCTTCATATGTGAAGGAGAAATAAAATCCTTCACAGACAAGCAAATGCTGAGAGGTTTTGTCATCACCAGGCCTGCCTTACAAGAGCTCCTGAAGGATGCAATAAACATGGAAAGAAACAACCGGTACGAGCCACTGCAAAAACAGGCCATATTGCAAAGACCATCAATGCTATGAAGAAACTGTATCAATTAATGGGCAAAATAACCAGTGAACATCATAATGACAGGATCAAATTTACACATAATAGTATTAACTTTAAATGTAAATGGGGTAAATGCCCCAATTAAAAGACACAGACAGGCGAATTGGATAAAGAGTCAAGACCTATCAGTGTCCTATATTCAGGAGACCCATCTCACATGCCAAGATGCACATAGGCTCAAAATAAAGGGATGGAGGAAGATCCACCAAGCAAATGGAAAAAAAAAAAAAAAAGCAGGGGTTGCAATCCTAGTCTCTGATAAAACAGACTTTAAATCAACAAAGATCAAAAGAGACAAAGAAGGCCATTACATAATGGTAAAGGGATCAATTCAACAAGAAGAGCTAACTATCCTAAATATATATGCACCCAATACAGGAGCACCCAAACTCATAAAGCAAGCCATTAGAGACCTACAAAGAGACTTAGACTCCCACACAATAATAATGGGAGACTTTAACATCATGCTGTCAATATTAGATGGATCAACGAGACAGAAGGCTAACAAGGATATCCAGGACCAGAACTCAGCTCTGCAACAAGCAGACCTAATAGACATCTACGGGACTCTCCACCACAAATCAACAGAATATACATTCTTCTCAGCACCATATCACACTTATTCTAAAATTGACCACATAATTGGAAGTAAAGTGCTGCTCAGCAAATGCAAAAGAACAGAAACCACAACAAACTGCCTATCAGACCACAGTGCAATCAAATTAAAACTCAGGATTAGGAAACTCACTGAAAACCACAAAACTACATGGAAACTGAACAACTTGCTCCTGAATGACTACTGGGTAAATAACGAAATGAAGGCAGAAATAAAGATGTTTTTTGAAACCAATGAGAACAAAGACACAACGTACCAGAATCTCTGGAACACATTTAAAGCAATGTGTAGAGGGAAATTTATAGCACTAAATGCCCACAGAAGAAAGCAGGAAAGATCTAAAATTGACACCCTAACATCACAATTAAAAGAAGTAGAGAAGCAAGAGCAAACAGATTCAAAAGCTAGCAGAAGGCAAGAAATAACTAAGATCAGAGCAGAACTGAAAGAGGTTGAGACACAAGAAGCCCTTCAAAAAAATCCATGAATGCAGGAGCTGGATTTTTGAAAAGATCAACAAAATTGATAGACTGCTAGCAAGACTAATAAAGAAGAAAAGAGAGAAGAATCAAACACATGCAATAAAAAATGATAAAGGGAATATCACCACTGATCCCACAGAACACAAACTACCATCACAGAATACTATAAACACCTCTAAACAAATAAACTAGAAAATCTAGAAGAAATGGATAAATTCCTGGACACATACACCCTCCCATACTAAACCAGGAAAGAGTTGAATCTCTGAATAGACCAATAACAGGCTCTGAAATTGAGGCAATGATTAATAGCCTGTCAACCAAAAAAAGTCCAGGACCAGATGGATTCACAGCCAAATTCTACCTGAGGTACAAAGAGGAGATGGTACCATTCCTTCTGAAACTATTCCAATCAATAGAAAAAGAGGGAATCTTCCTGAACTCATTTTATGAGGCCAGCATCATTCTGATACCAAAGCCTGACAGAGATGCAACAAAAAAAGAGAATTTTAGACCAATATCCCTGATGAACATTGATGCAAAAATCCTCAATAAAATACTAGTAAACCAAATCCAGCAGCACATCAAAAAGCTTATCCACCACGATCAAGTTGGCTTCATCCCTGGGATGCAAGCCTGGTTCAACATACGCAAATCAATAAATGTAATCCATCACATAAACAGAACCAATGACAAAAACCACATGATTATCTCAATAGATGCAGAAGAGGCCTTTGACAAAATTCAACAGCCTGTCATGCTAAAAACTCTCAATAAACTAGGTATTGATGGAGCATATCTCAAAATAATAAGAACTATTTATGACAAACCTACAGCCAATATCATACTGAATGGGCACAAACTGGAAGCATTCCCTCTGAAAACCGGCACAAGACAGGGATGCCCTCTCTCACCACTCCTATTCAACATAGTGTTGGAAATTCTGGTCAAGGCAATCAAGAAAGAGAAAGAAATAAAGAGTATTCAATTAGGAAATGAGGAAGTCAAATTGTCCCTGTTTGCAGATGACATGATTGTATATTTAGACAACCCCATTGTCTCTGCCCAAAATCTCCTTAAGCTGATAAGCAACTTAAGCAAAGTCTCAGGATACAAAATCAATGGCAAAAATCACAAACATTCCTATACGCCATTAATAGACAAAAAGAGAGCCAAATCATGAGTGAACTCCCATTCACAATTGCTTCAAAGAGAATAAAATACCTAGGAATTTAACTTACAAGGGATGTGAAGGATCTCTTCAAGGAGAACTACAAACCACTGCTCAAGGAAATAAAAGAGGACACAAACAAATGGAAGAATATTCCATGCTCATTAATAGGAAGAATCAGTATCGTGAAAATGGCCATACTGCCCAAAGTAATTTATAGATTCAATGCCATCCCCATCAAGCTACCAATGACTTTCTTCACAGAATTGGAAAAAACTACTTTAAATTTCATATGGAACCAAAAAGGAGTCCATATAGCCAAGTCAATCCTAAGCCAAAAGAACAAAGCTGGAGGCATCATGCTACCTGACTTCAAACTATGCTACAAGGCTACAGTAACCAAAACAGCATGGTATTGGTACGAAAACAGATTTATAGATGAATGGAACAGAACAGAGGCCTCAGAAATAACACCACACATCTACAACCATCTGATCTTTGACAAACCTGACAAAAACAAGAAATGGGGAAGGATTCCCTATTTAATAAATGATGCTGGGAAAACTGGCTAGCCATATGTAGAAAGTTGAAACTGGATCTCTTCCTTACACTTTATACAAAAATTAATTCAAGGTGGATTAAACACTTAAAAGTTAGACCTAAAATCATAAAAACCCTAGAAGAAAATCTAGGCAATACCATTCAGGATATAGGAACAGGCAAGGACTTCATCACTAAAACACCAAAAGTAATGGCAACAAAAGCCAAAATAGACAAATAGGATCTAATTAAACTAAAGAGTTTCTGCACAGCAAAAGAAACTACCATCAGAGTGAACAGGCAATTTACAGAATGGGAGAAAATTTTTGCAATATACCCACCTGACAAAGGGCTAATATCTAGAATCTACAAAGAACTCAAACAAATTTACAAGAAAGAAACAAACAATCCCATCAAAAAGTGGGCAAAGAATATGAACAGACACTTCTCAAAAGAGGACACCTAAGCAGCCAACAGACACATGAAAAAATGCTCATTATCACTGGTCATCAGAGAAATGCAAATCAAAACCACAATAAGATACTGTCTCATGCCAGTTAGAATGGCAATCATTAAAATGTCGGGAAACAACAGATGCTGGAGAGGATGTGGAGAAATAGGAACGCTTTTACACTGTTGGTAGGAATGTAAATTATTTCAACCATTGTGAAAGACAGTGTGGCGATTCCTCAAATATCTAGAACTAGAATTACCATTTGACCCAGCAATCCCATCACTGGGTATATACCCAAAGGATTATAAATCATGCTATTATAAAGACACATGAACACATATGTTTATTGTGGCAGTATTTACAATAGCAAAGACTTGGAACCAACCCAAATGTCCCTCAATGATAGAATGGATTAAGAAAATGTGGCACATATATACCATGGAATACTATGCAGCCATAAAAAAGGATGAGTTCATGTCCTTTGCAAGGACATGGATGAAGCTGGAAACCCTCATTCTCAGCACACTGTCACAAAGACAGAAAACCAAACACTGCATGTTCTCACTCATAGGTGGGAATTGAGCAATGAGATCACTTGGACACAGGATGGGGAACATCACACACTGAGGCCTGTCGGGGGTCGGGGGGCTAAGGGAGGGATAGCATTAGGAGAAATACCTAATGTAAATGATGATTTGATGGGTGCAGCAAACCAACATGGCACATGTATACCTATGTATCGAAGCTGCAAGTTGTGCACATGTACCCCAGAACTTAAAGTATAATTTTAAAAAAAGAAGTTTGAACTGAAGATACTGACTTGTAACAAACCTGCAGACACACCTTCAAACTGGGAGTCATATGATAAGAATTTTAAGCTAAAAATATCATTCAGAATACAGAAAATTTGCAGATTTTGCTGGGCAGAGAGAATAATTCAGTTTGGGGTAAACTGGAATTTTTATTCCTTTAAGATATTTAAATAGAACTTGCAAGGAGGCAGGTGGATGTGACAGGATACAGAGACACCAGGAAGATTTGAGCAGAATCCTATCTGTTTTGTAGTTGCTGGCATACTGATGGTAATTTAAGAAGAAAAGTACAGCCAATTTTCATTTTGTGTGTTTCCCTCACGTCCGTGTGAAGAGACCACCATACAGGCTTTTTGTGAGCAATAAAGCTTTTAATCAGTGACTAGGTGCAGGCAGGTTGAGTCTGAAAAGAGAGTCAGCGAAGGGAGATAGGGGTGGGGCCGTTTTATAAGATTTGGGTAGGTAAAGGAAAAAAGGGGGGTTGTTCTCTGGCGGGCAGGGGTGGGAGGAGTCACAAGGTGCTCAGCAGGGGAGCTTTTGAGCCAGGATGAGCCAGGAGAAGGAATTTCACAAGGTAATGTCATCAGTTAGGGCAAGAACAGGCCATTTTCACTTCTTTTGTGGTGGAATGTCATCAGTTAAGGCAGGAAGCAGCCATCTGGATGTGTACAGCCATCTGGATGTGTACCTGCAGGTCACAGGGGATATGATGGCTTAGCTTGGGCTCAGAGGCCTGACATTCCTGCCTTCTTATATTAATATGAAAAATAAAATGAAATAGTGGTAAAGTGTTGGGGCGGTAAAAATTTTTGGGGGTGGTATGGAGAGATAATGGGCAATGTTTCTCAGGGCTGCTTCGAGCGGGGTTGGGGCAGTGTAGGAACCTAGAGTCGGAGAGATTAAGCTGAAGGAAGATGTTGTGGTAAGGGATGATATTGTGGGGTTGTTAGAAGAAACATTTGTTGTGTAGAATTATTGGCGATGGCCTAGATATGGTTTTGTATGAATTGAAAGACTAAATGGAATAAGAGAAGGAGAAAAACAGGTGTTAAAGGACTAAGAATTGGGAGGACCAAGGACATCCAATTAGAGAGTGCCCAAGGGTGTTCAGTGTAATTACTTGCTTGATTGGCAAGTTTTTGGGCTCTATCCTTGAGTTTTTTTATGTTGTCATATACCAGGTCAGATTGATTTAGGTAAAAACAACACTCTTCATTTAAGAATATACAGAGTTGTCGTTTTTCAGCAGTGAGTAAGTCAAGGCCTCAGCGGTTTTGGAGGAAAACTGCAGCTAAAGAGTCAACTTGGGCTTGGAAGACTGATAACGTTTGTGATATGTCTGTGATGCTAGCAGAGAAATCATTAGAGAGGCTACGGAATGTCATGACAGAGGTAGAAATGCCTGCTATTCCAGTACCGAGAGCAATAGTGGAAGCAGAAAGTCCTAAACTGACAAGCAAGGGAATTAGTGGAATAACTCTTTTTTGTCATGTCAGTGTCATGAGGGGAACAGGGAGCTCTTTTGCAAATTGAATTTTGGGACTAAGGAAAACTAGTGTGCATGTGCCTGTCCAATTAGCAGGTAGACACATGTAGGTAGAGGATCCACAGAGGAAGAAGAGACCTTGTGCGAGGCAAAACTGGAGATGCAAAGTAAAAAGAGGAGAAGGAGTCCTGAGATGAGAAGGAAAGGGCTGTCCTGTACCCAGACTCCTAGGGATCCAGCTAGGGCGGCAGCCATCAGAGATTTTAATGGGGACTGATGAGGTAACTGCATAGAGGGGGAGGTTCGATTTTCATGGTGTAGGAGAAAATCATCAAGTGTCTATGAGCAACCTTTCACTGTTATTTTCAGGGCTGGGTATAAGTAAACAAGAAGAGGGCCTGGGAGGAGAGTCTGTCGAGCAAGGGGAAGGTAGCCAAGGATGGAGTAAAATACAGGGTGTCTTCCTAAGCAATAATTACTGCTAATGTTTTTAAGCTTGCTAGTATTGATAGAGGGCTTGTCTGTAATATGGAGCTGGGAGGCTCCAATTGTTTCAGTGATGTTTGTAGTTGGGCTTTGGAGATGAAGAGTGAAGTAACATTGAGAAGGTGAAACGTTACTTAGGGGAATTCCATTGGGTCTTTGCCGAGAGATACATAAAGGAGCAGCCACAGGAATAGTAGTTTGTGTTGTGAGAGGTCTAAATATGGGGGGAGTAGAGTTGATATAAGGAGAAAGGTTTTTTAAGTAAGCATGGAGGAGGGTGGCATCTTGCTGATGTGAAATGTCTGGAGAGGTCTTGCTGGACCTGTCTAGAAAGTAAATGAGCTCTTCAGGAGGGTAAAGGTGAGGGCTGTTAAAGGAAGTTCAGAGGTGTAGGGAGACAGGAGATGTTGCCTAGTCTGCATGTAAGGCGGGGACAGCTGTGTAGGTGCTAGAAGGAAGGGAAATGCAAAGCCAGCGGTTGTTTGCTAAGGAGGGATTAAAAACAGCTAGGAGAGAATGAGTAAGGTTGATAGTGTGGTGGAGATAGCTGGGGAGAGGAGAGGGTGGCATAAGAATGGGAATGAGAATAAGAGTGAGTATAAAAGTAAAGAATAGAACTTCCTCAGGGTGAAAGTATTGGAGGGTTCCCTGCCAGCTAAGATCATCTATCCACTCTAAGAGGGAGTTAAGAGTTGCCAGTCCTGGGCAGGGGCAAATCCATGAGCTTGATGTGTAGGGAAGGGAGGGGGCCTGAATAATCCCTGAGGGGTAGTAGAATAGCAGAGGGAACACTGAGAAGTTAATTCCTTGAGCATAGATTTCCACGATGGAAAGGAAATGAGAGGTTCTAAGAGGCGGGCTAGTGGCTTCTACTATAGCATAGCCTGCCTTTGCTGCTGTGTGGCGATTAGGCTTGGTGGAACTGCCATCAATAAACCAAGTGATCAGAGTGAGGAACAGGAAAGAAGGAAATATGGGGAAATGGGGTGAATGTCAGGTGGATCAGAGAGATACAGTCATGGGGGTCAGGTGTGGTATCAGGAATAATGTGGGAGGCAGGATTGAAGTCCGGGCCAGGAACAATGGTAATTGTGGGAGACTCAACAAAGAGTGAGTACAGCTGAAGGAGCCGGGAAGCAGACAGTATATGTGTCAGGTGTGAGGGAGGAAGAAAATAGATTTTGAAAGTTATGAGAACTCTAGAGAGTGAGTTGAGCATAGTTTGTGATTCTAAGGGCCTCTAAAAGTATTAGGGCAGCGGCAGCCGCTGCATGCAGACTTGAGGGCTAAAACAGTAAGGTCAAGTTGTTTGGATAAAAAGGCTACAGGGCGCGGTCCTGGTTCTTGTGTAAGAATTCTGACTGCACAGCCCTGCACTTCAGCTGTGGGTAATGAAAAGGTTTGGGATGAGTCACAGAGAGCTAGGGTGGGGGCATTCTCTAAAGCTGTCTTCAAGGAATGGAAAGAGGAGTGGGGAAAGGATTTAGGATCTATGGGGTCAGCTAGGTTTCCTTTTGTGAGCTTATATAATGGTTTTGTTAGGATGGCAAAACCAAGTATCTAAAGTCAAAAGTATCCAACCATGCCTAGGAAGGAAAGGAGTTGTTGTTTTGTAGAAGGTGTTGGGGTTTGAGAGATCAGTCAGACATGATCGGCAGGGAGAGCACGTGTGTTTTTATGGGAATTATGCTGAGATAGGTAACAGATGAGGAAGAAATTTGAGCTTGACTGAAGTAATGGGGGCTGTCTGTGAAGGCTTGTGGCCGTACAGCCCAGGTAATTTGCTGAGCCTGATGGGTGTTAGGGTCAGTCCAAGTGAAAGCGAAGAGAGGCTGGGGTGAAGGGTGCAAAGGAATAGTAAAGAAAGCATGTTTGAAATCCAGAACAGAATAATGGGTTGTGGAGGGAGGTATTGAGGATAGGAGAGTATATGGGTTTGGCACCACGGGGTAGATAGGCAAAACAATTTGGTTGATAAGGCGCAGATCCCGAACTAACTTGTAAGACTTGTCTGGTTTTAGGACAGGCAAAATGGGGGAATTATAAGGGGAGTTTACAGGCTTTAAAAGGCCATGCTGTAGCAGGCGAGTGATAACAGACTATAATCCTTTTAAAGCATGCTGTGGGATGGGATATTGGCATTGAGTGGGGTAAGGGTGATTAGATTTTAATGGGATGGTAAGGGGTGCATGATTGGTCACTAAGGAGGGAGTAGAGGTGTCTTATACTTGTGGGTTAAGGTGAGGAGATACAAGGGGAGGATGTGAAGGAGACTTTGAACTGGGGGAAAAGGTGGCAATGAGGTGTGGCTGTAGCCCAGGAATAGTCAGGGAAGCAGATAATTTAGTTAAAGTGTCTCAGCCTAAAAAGGGAACTGGGCAGGTGGGGATAACTAAAAAGGAGTGCTTAAAAGAGTATTGTCTAAGTTGGCACCAGAGTTGGGGAGTTTCAAGAGGTTTAGAAGCCTGGCCATCAATACCCACAACAGTTATGGAGGCAAGAGAAACAGGCCCTTGAAAAGAAGGTAATGTGGAGTGGGTAGCCTCCATATTGATTAAGAAGGGGACGGACTTACCCTCCACTGTGAGAGTTACCCAGAGCATCTGTGATTGTCCTGTAGGCTTCCAAGGCAATCGGGCAGTGTCAGTCTTCAGCTGCTAAGTCGAGAAGATCTGGGAAGGAATCAGTCAGAGAGCCTTGGGCCAGAGTTCCAGGGGCTCTGGAAGTGGCTGCTAGGTGAGTTGAACAGTCCGATTTTCAGTGAGGTCCTGCACAGATGGGACATGGCTCAGGAGGAATCCTGAGCTGTGGGCATTCCTTGGCCCAGTGGCCAGATTTCCAGCACTTGTAGCAAGCTTCTGGGGGAGAAGGTTCTGGAGGAACCCCTGGCAGCTGCAGTTCAGGCATTTGGAGTTCTTACGTGCTGGAGATGTGGCTGGGGTTTGTCTTACAGTGGAGGCAAGGAATTGCAATTCAGAAATACAGTGCTACTTGGCTACCTCTACTTTATTACAGTACTCCTTGAAGACGAGGTTAATTAAGTCCTGTTGTGGGGTTTGAGGGCTGGAATTTAATTTTTGGAGCTTTATTTAATGTGAGGAGCAGATTGGGTAATAAAATAAAATGTATATTGAGAGTAAGACGGCCTTTTGGCTTTTCAGGGTCTAGGGCTGTAAAGCGTCTCAGGGTTGCTGCTAAATGGGGTATGAACTGGGCTGGGTTTTTCATATTTGATGAAAAAGAGCCTAAACACTAACTGATTTGGAAGAAGTCGGATAAATAAAAAGGAGTATTAACCTTGACTATCCCTTTAGCTCCAGCCACTTTTTAAAGAGGAAATTGCTGGACAGGTGGTGGAACGAAACTGTAAGCCAGACCAGGTGTGAGGAGGGGAGGTGATAAAAGGATTACAGGGTGGAGGAGCACAGGCTGAGGAAGAATTGCATAGCTCGGCCTGGCAAAGAGGGGAGAGGTCAGATGTGTCTGTAGAAAAGGAAGATTAGAAAGACTCAGTGATGCTTGGGGTTGGGACTGAGGGGACAGGTGGGAAGGAAAGAAGGATGAGTTGCATTGGGAACTGAGACTAGGGAGGGACCGATGTGTAAAAGAATGCCTGGACATCAGCCACCTCAGACTGTTTGCCCATTTTACGACAAGAATTATTTAGATCTTGTAGGATGGAAAAATTGAAAGTGCTGTTTTCTGGCTATTTGGAACCACTGTCGAGTTTGTATTGGGGTCAAGCGGCATTGCAGAAGAAAGTAAGGCATTTAGGTTTTAGGTCAGGTGTGAGTTGAAGAGGTTTTAGGTTTTTAAGAACACAGGCGAAGGGAGAAGAAGGAATGGAGGGTGGAAGGTTGCCTATAGTGAAGGAGGCAAGTCCAGAGAAAAGAGAGGGTAGAGACATGGAGAGAAGGGGTGGGGGGTGCTTGCCCCCCAGGAAAGTGGAGAAGTGGCAGAGACACAGAAGGGGTTGGGGGGTTCTTGTCCCCCAGAAAAGCAGTACTTGCCACTAAGATTGAAGGATCAAGGCAGGTATCCCCACATGGTCAGACACCTCTGAAACGTGGGTGAACAATCAGGCATCCCTGCAATGATTAAACACCAAGGGAAGGCTGCCTTCCCGAGTCCATGACCAGTGCCAGAGTTTTGGGTCCACGGATAAAATGTGTCTCCTTTGTCTCTACCAGAAAATGAAAGGAATTGAAATTAAGAGAAGGGAGAGATTGAAGAGTGGCACCAAGATTGAAAGGAGAAAGTGGTTGAGGGATAGTGAGAGAGGTTGGAGAAGCAAGTAAGAAGAGGCCGCTTACCTGATTTAAAATTGGTGAGATGTTCCTTGGGCTGGTGGGTCTCAGGACCTGAGGTTGTAGGTGGATCTTTTTCATGGAGCAAAGAGCAGGAGGACAGGGGATTGATCTCCCAAGGGAGGTCCCTCGATCTGAGTCATGGCACCAAATTTCACTTGTGTCCGTGTGAAGAGACCACCAAACAGGCTTTGTGTGAGCCATAAAGCTTTTAATCACCTGGGTGCAGGAGGGCTGAGTCTGAAAAGAGAGTCAGCGAAGGGAGATAGGGATGGGGTGTTTTATAAGATTTGGGTAGGTAAAGGAAAAAAGGGGGGTTATTCTCTGGTGGGCAGGGGTGGGGGTTCACCAGGTGCTCAGCAGGGGAGCTTTTGAGCCAGGATGAGCCAGGAGAAGGAATTTCACAAGGTAATGTCATCAGTTAGGGCAGGAACAGGCCATTTTCACTTCTTTTGTGGTGGAATGTCATCAGTTAAGGCAGGAACCAGCCATCTGGATGTGTACAGCCATCTGGATATGTACATGCAGGTCACAGGGGATATGATGGCTTAGCTTGGGCTCAGAGGCCTGACAGTGTGGATTCTGTACTTGCAAATTTGCCTACTGGGTACACTTTGTTTCTAACCCCCAAATCAATACTTCGTATTACTTTCCTCATCACAGGCAGAGCAGCAAAATAAAGTTGAATCTCCTGACTCACAAGCTCCCAGCCAAGGTGGAACAAGGGACATCCTCCATTCTTGTTTCAGCTCCCATACTCTAAACAAATGGCCTGTTTAGAAATGCACAGTTCACATTTTTATGCTTTTTCATGGTGATTTCGCCCTTTGATAAGCAGGGAGCCTTTGAAACAGCCCGTGTTCCTGTCTACCATTTCCTTCTCACCACAGAAAAATATTTAAACTTCTTTTAACTGATATATTTGATATTTATCTTTATACCTTTAAATAGAATACTTGTCCAGGCACGGTGGCTCACGCCTGCAATCCTAGCACTTTGGGAGGCTGAGGTGGGCAGATCACCCGAGGTTGGGAGTTCGAGACCAGCCTGACCAACATGGAGAAACCCTGTCTCTACTAAAAATACAAAAATTAGCCAGATGCAGTGGCACATGCCTGGTAATTCCAGCTACTTGGAAAGCTGAGGCAGGAGATTCGCTTGAACATGGGAGGTGGAGGTTGCAGTGAGCCGAGATTGTGCCATTGCACTCCAGCCTGGGCAACAAGAGCAAAACTCCGTCTCAAAAAATTAAATAAACAGAATGCTTATATTTCTAAGTGTTTATTTTTCAGGTTTAGATATCTTTTGACCTTATAGAAAAATGGAGATTTAGCTGTTTATTCTCCCCTTTTCCCCACCCCTTTACACATGTTTACATACTGACTCTATCATCTTATACAACCATCTCTTAAATCCATATTCATCATTACGTTATCATGACTGCACAAACACTTTCACGTCTGAGCCACATACTATACCAATGGTTCCCAGATTGTCAGCCCTGGACAAGCAAAGTCAGCATTACCTTAGAATTTGAGACAGCTGCAAATTCTTGGGTATCACACCAGATTTGTTAGAAACTTTGAAGATGGGACCCAAGAATTTGTGTTTTTATAAGCCCTCTAGGAGATTCTGATGTCTGCAAATTGTTGAGAACTACAGCATTATAGTGCGATTACTTTTTATTTCAAACACTACTCTTTATTTTATTGAAATTAATGATACAGTGGTTACATTCTTATTAATTCAACCCAAAACAGTATAACAATTGCTCCTCTCTTCTCCCAATACCATCAATTTTACTTTCCTGAAAACAATCTTTGCTGGAGCTTTCTAAAAGGCTCCAGTCTGGTCATCCTCTTTCTGACAGGCTCTAGTCTCTGAACCACAAACTTGGACTTTATTTCTGCAAAGCTGTTACCTTTCACCATCATTATGGGGTTTTCCTTCAACCCTTTCTTATGTTGAGTCCAGTGATCCATGTCTTCTTTCTTGATTTATTCCCTCATTCAGTAGAGCACAAAGTCTAATTGTCATGCACGTCCCTGTGAAGAAACCACCAAACAGGTTTTGTGTGAGCAACAAGGCTGTTTATTTCACCTGGGTGCAGGCGGGCTGAGTCCGAAAAGACTCAGCAAAGGGTGGTGGAATTATGATTAGTTCTTATAGGTTTGGGATAGGCATACAAAGCCATACAAAGTACCTTCTTAAGGGTGGGGGAGACTATATTGTATCAGTTAGGGTGGGGCAGGAACAAATCACAATTGTGGAATGTCATCGGTTAAGGCTATTTTCACTTCTTTTTTTTTTTTCATTTATTTTTCTTTTTATTATTATTATTATACTTTAAGTTTTAGGGTACATGTGCATAATGTGCAGGTTAGTTACATACGTATACATGTGCCATGCTGGTGCGCTGCACCCACTAACTCGTCATCTAGCATTAGGTATATCTCCCAATGTTATCCCTCCCCCCTCCCCCCAACCCACAGCAGTCCCCAGAGTGTGATGTTCCCCTTCCTGTGTCCATGTGTTCTCATTGTTCAATTCCCACCTATGAGTGAGAATATGCGGTGTTTGGTTTTTTGTTCTTGCGATAGTTTACTGAGAATGATGATTTCCAATTTCATCCATGTCCCTACAAAGGACATGAACTCATCATTTTTTATGGCTGCATAGTATTCCATGGTGTATATGTGCCACATTTTCTTAATCCAGTCTATTGTTGTTGGACATTTGGGTTGGTTCCAAGTCTTTGCTATTGTGAATAATGCCGCAATAAACATATGTGTGCATGTGTCTTTATAGCAGCATGATTTATAGTCGTTTGGGTATATACCCAGTAATGGGATGGCTGGGTCAAACGGTATTTCTAGTTCTAGATCCCTGAGGAATCGCCACACTGACTTCCACAATGGTTGAACTAGTTTACAGTCCCACCAACAGTGGAAAAGTGCTCCTATTTCTCCACATCCTCTCCAGCACCTGTTGTTTCCTGACTTTTTAATGATTGCCATTTTAACTGGTGTGAGATGGTATCTCACTGTGGTTTTGATTTGCATTTCTCTGATGGCCAGTGATGGTGAGCATTTTTTCATGTGTTTTTTGGCTGCATAAATGTCTTCTTTTGTGGATCTTCAGTTGCTTCAGGCCATCTGGATGTATACATGCAGGTCTCAGGGGATATGATGGCTTAGTCTGAGCTCAGAGGCCTGACACTAATAGATTCCAAAGAAAAGGTTAGCACGAGTAAATGTTTTAATACATTGCAAATCTAGCAATGTTCATTTTCATGTGCTCCTTTCTCTTTCATTGTTCTCTAACAATTTTATTACTTTAGTTTATCACTTCATAATATAATTATTAATTCCTAATGTTAGATATGAGTTGTAAATTTCTTTTCAAAGACTTAATATGTCAGTATGTTCAATTATTTGCCTTCTACTTTTAAACTTAACTTCCTGGTAAAGCAACCTTTTTCGATTACCTACTCCACCCTGACTCATTCTGATTACCTAATCCACCCTGACTTATTCCGATCACCTGCTCCACCCTAACTCATTCCCATTACCTGCTACCTGCTCTGCCCTGACTCCTGCCAAAGTACTCATCCCTTCATTCTCTTTAAATTAGGCAATTGGAATTAGTTTAGCCTGTGCGGTCTAACCCTACCCAATAGGGGGACTACCCAGCGCAGAGGCCATGTGCATCAGGGATAAGAACCCCTTCCCCTCCCTTGTCCAGGTGTGCACTCACCATTGCTCCATCTGTAAGGGTGCACCCTTCTATAGAAGTAACTTGCCTTGCTAAGAATTAAAAAGAAAATTTCATATTTGAGTGCTATTCCTTTTGCGGCACCAAAAGTTTATAACACTAAGAAAGTTGGCAATGTCAAAAATATATTTAAAAGGCCATTTGTTGTATAAAAAATAAAATGAGGTCCTAGAATTTCAGACTTAAAATTGTGAAAAAAAATGTCATATAGAAAAAATAACAAAAAGATATGAGAATCAACTAATAGGTCAGTTACATAATCAATACAACTATTGTGTCTGAATTTTCTTTTGTATAAAAACAAAGATTAAGGAATAAAAAATTCTATAAACTGTATCCATAAATTAATCATAGTAGCAGGAATTATCATTTCAAAAATCTTATAACAATAAAAACCTATTTCTACAGTAGAAATAGATTGATCTTATAATTTTTTTATTTTTTAATGTTGTGGGTACATAGTAGGTATTTATATTTATGGGGTACTTGAGATGTTTTGATGCAAGCATGCAAGGCATAATAATCTCAGCATGGAAAATGATATATCTATCCCCTCAAGCATTTATTTTTTGTGTTATAAATAATCCAATTTTACTCATTTACTTATTTTCCAATGCACAATTAAATTGTTATTGACTACAGTTACTTTGTTGTGTTGTCAAATACTAGGCCTTATTCATTAATTTTAACTATCTTTTTGTACCAGTGAACCATCGCTACTTCCCCTTCATTCCCAACTACCCTTCCCAGCCTGTGATAACCATACTTCTACTCTCTATCACTATGAGTTCAATTGTTTTGATTTTTAAATCCCATAAATAAGTGAGAATATGTGATGTTAGTCTTTGTGCGCCTGGCTTATTTCACTTTACATGATGACCTCCAGTTCCATCCATGTTGTTGCAAATGACAAAATCTTATTCTTTTTATGGCTGAATAGTACTCCATTGTGTATACGTAACACATAAAGAACACATTTAATGGTATGGTTTGGCTGTGTGTCCACTCAAATTTCATATTGAATTCCCATGTGTTGTGGGAGGGACCTGGTCAGAGGCAATTGAATCATGGAGGCAGGTCTTTCCTGTGCTGTTCTCGTGATAGTGAATAAGTCTCAGGAGATCTGATGGCTTTATAAAAGGGAGTTTCCCTGCACAAACTCTTTTCTCTTGTCTGCCACCATGTCACACATGCCTTTCATCTTGTGAGGCCTCCCCAGCCACATGGAAGTGTGAGTCCATTAAACCTCTTTCTTTTGTCAATTGCTCAGTCTTGGGTATGTCTTTATCAGCAGCATGAAATGGACTAATACATTTAAGAATGATGGACACATAGGTTGCATCCAAATCTTGGCTATCATGAACAGAGCTGCAATAAATATTGAACTGCAGTATTTGATTTCCTTTCTTCTGGATGTAAACTTAGCAATAGGATTGCTGGATTATATAGTAGTTTTATTTTAGTATTTGAGGAACCTCCACCCTCTTCTCCACAGCAATTGTACTAAGTAACATTTCCATCAACAGGGAACAAGGGTATCCTTTTCTCCACATCCTCACCAGCATTTGCTATTGTCTGTCTTTTGGGTATAAGCCATTTTAATTTGAGTGAGATGATATCTCATTGAAATTTTAATTTGCATTTCTCTGATGATAAATGATGTTGGGCACCTTTTCATTTGTCTGTTTGCCATGTGTATGTTTTCCTTTGAGAAATGTCTGTTCAAATCTTTTGTTCATTTTTAATTTGGATTATTCAATTTTTTCCTATAAAGTTGTTTGAGCGACTTTATATTCTGGTTATTAACCTCTTGTCAGATATGTAGTTTGCAAATAATTTCTCCCATTCTTTAGGTTGTCTCTTCACTTATTTGATTGTTTTCTTTCCTGTGCAGAAGCTTCTTAACAACTTGATATAATCCCATTTGTCCATTTTTGTTCATGTTTTCTTGGATTGTCTTGACATTTGTAGATGTTTGTCTGTGTCTAATCATTTTGTAATCCTGCAGTCAGGTTTGTTTGGACCTGTCCTTCTTAGGAAGGCTTTTCAGATATGCAAAAGAACTTGGGTCCTGTCATCTAAGCTGTAACTGTTTTAGAGGGGACCACAAGCCCAATAATAATGTGGTTCCTGTAGATTCATAGATGTGCTACTTTGATGGCCTTGGACAAGATTAGGAAGAATTCTTTGGATTACCGGACAGTGACTTTTGTTCTCTTTCCTTAACTTATCCCAAAGAAATGGAGTCTGTCTCTTTGTTCTGAGCCACGTGGAGCTAGGTTAAAGTGACACAAGCACCCCTGTGGCCACAGTCCCTAGGGACTGCCAGAAATAGGTTTATTTTTTAAAGATTTTTATTAGCATATATTTTCTTACATATCCTTTTTCCTGCTGACTTCAAAAATATCTGCTTTTCATAGATTGATTATTCATGTCTTGAAACCTGACCACTTTCTAGAATGTTTTTCATAGATTTTGTAAATTTCAAAAAAAAAAAAAAAAATCACACTAATCTTTTTTATTTGCCATTTGGACATTGTATGACAAATTTTTGACACATGTAATTTATAAAATTTACATTCCTCCTTACAGGTTGCTTCCTTCTTCTTTAATAATGACCACTGTACAAATAGAATTACTCTCAAATTCGTTATACCTCATTACATGGAAAAAGAAGTGAGAATAATTTCTTTTAAAATAATTTTAGAGAGTAAAATAATAATAATAATAACAATAGCATTATTATTCATGCCAGTGTGCCTTCAAAGGTGACAATTTGATTTAAACAGTTTGCTTTTTAAAAATGTAAACTCAGAAACAACTAAGACAGGAACTGGGTTTTTGTAAGGAAAGAGAAGATCCTATAATCTTTCCATAGCCTGTGTATAAATTTTACACACAATAAATACTTCATATGCCCATGAACAAATTAAATAATTCACTAATATAAAATTAATGTTAATTCTACATTGTAGTCTTTACAAGTGGTGTGTTTGCTATGTACTGACCATTATTGTTATTTAGCAACCATTTTTTTTTAACATTTGAAATTTGATCAGTTATAAAGTCCTTTCTTGGTGTTCATGGGGATTAGTTGTAAGCCCTCCCCTGGATACCAAAATCCTCAAATGCTCAAGTCCTTGAAATAAAATTTGCATACAACTGAGGCACATACTCCCACATACTTTAAATTGTCTCTAGATTATCTGAAATACTTAACATAATGTAAATGCTATGCAAATAGTTCTTATAATGTATTATTTAGGGAATAACAAGAAAAAAGTCTATACCTGCTCAGTACAGACACAACCTTTCAGTTTTTTTCTGAATATTTTAATCCATAGTTTGTTCAATCCATGGTTGTGCAAAGAGCAGATATGAAGTGCTGACTGCATATACTTTTAATTGTGCTCCTACCAAATTTTTCAACTAGTCATAAGATTTATTAGTCAATTATGTAGTATTTTATAATTCAAGTATCCTTTAATAATCTCTTCATGATTCTACTTATTCAGTTTGTGAACATGTCTGCATTTTAAAAATGTATATTGCAAGCAAAATTATTTGCCTTTTCATTAAAGGTATTAGGAAAGAAAAAATTATTCTCTGTGTGTTATATTTTCACCTGCATGATTGACCAGTAATAAATATTCAAAATTCTCTATCTGTATATGCCCTCAAATATTATTTTGTTTCAACTTAAGATCTAATTATAAAATTTGTCATTTTAAATTAATATTTATTAAACATTTTAATGTGCATTAAAAAGTCAATTACTGACGGTGTCTCAATTAGTTTTTCTGAAAATGACAGCTCTGTTAGTATGAATCCCTTGATATGAAAAACAAACATGCCAGACATCTCACATTCTTTGCAATCAATAAAGTCTGTATTTCAGATATCAGGTCAGCAATTTTCTGCACAATATCTGCTTTGACATCTGGAACAGGCTACTAAGGCTCTGTACAGTGCAGTTATGCAGTTATAACTTCTCTTGGGTTCTAAATACTTTTCCTAATTTATATTGTAATATCCTGTGTAGTTGTTCTAGTGCCAATTGAAACAAAGTTGAGCTTCAGATTTTATAATTCTTCTTTTAACTTTCCTAACAGTTTTTCTATTAATGTATATTTTAAAAATATTTTCTTGGAATGTTCTCTTTAGTTTGGGACTTACATTTATAGTTAGTTTTCAAGTAAGCATTGTGCTTTAGGTAACCGTAAACAAGTAAAACAAAATACAAAGACAAAAAAGAAAATGTCAGATAGTAGACAATTGACTAACCATTGCATTCTGTAAATATTTGCCAGTCTGCAAAATATTTTGAGAACTTGAAATGCAAATAACACATGAAAAAGAATTTATTTGACTTTGTTTTCTTTACTGCAGTAATAGTTACATGCTTGTCACATGTATTGCATTGATTTCCTTCTCTCTGCCTTCCTGCCACCCTGAAGCTGAATTTTGTAAATAAGAATCTACCTGGCATATGTGGGGCTGTCTCTTTTTATGGTAGTTAGAAATGTAGGATTCAATCTCTACAACCTCTCTTAATTCATATAGTTGGTACCATGTTCAGGGATGCATATAACCATTGGAGGCTAGAGTGTATGAATTACTGTCACTGGAAAAGCAAGACAAGTATTAATTATTTCAAATGAACTAAGAGACAGATGGAGCCATTAAAACTTCAAGAAGTGTCCAAATATTATTAATTCATGTGATATTCATTATATCACTACTAATCATACCAGATTCTTTTGGTATCATTAAATGTGATGGGCAAGACTGTTTAAAGTTTTCAATAAATTGCCTTATGAGGTAATCTGTCACTGCTGTAATGAAGTAACTTAAGTAGCAAAGATACCTATAACTGAGTTCAGAATGTATCTGTCACCGTATTTTAAGAAATGATATTTAATATCTTCAATGTATCAAATGCTACCGCTATCTGAAAAGGGACAATATAAATATAAATCCAGATAATGCACACAAAAAAATTTTCTTTCTATCTCACCCTGTAGCTTTATACTGCCAAAGCTGTTGTTTGGTTTTAAAAAATTAGTTGTTGGCATACCATGTTATGCCATATCGGTTTGCTGATGTTGTAAGATAATGCAAATTAGAATGATTAGAAGTCATTACTTTTGATTTTGGTGTAGGTTGCTAGAAAATGAATGATAGTGCTAGATGTGCTATAAAATTAATAATAGTGAGGATAATATTATTAATGCTCTTGATATAATTTATTAAGTGCCTACTATGTACAAGGCATTGTTTAGATGTTTCACGTATATTTTACTTTATCCTCCCCCCAAAATCTAACGGTAGATATTTCTATTTTTCTTTAATGCTAAATATTCATAATCAGATAACAGAAGTTTTCAGGGACTAAACTGCATGAAATATCAAAATTAATGCATCATCGAGGCCAGGCCTGGTGGGTCACTTTCGTGCACTTTGGGAGGCCAAGGCAGGTGGACAACTTGAGGTCAGGAGTTAGAGACCAGTCTGGCCAATGTGGTGAAACCCCGTCTCTACTAAAAATACAAAAATTAGCCAGGTATGGTGGCTGAGGCAGGAGAATCACTTGAACCCGGGAGGCGGAGGTTGCAGTGAACTGAGAGATCCAGCCACTGCACTCCCACCTGGGTGACAGAGCCAGATTCCATCTCAAAAACAAACAAACAAAGAATTATTTAATTTTGAAATAACAGAAAAATTCCTTATAACTTGATTCTTCATCCAAATATTGACATTTTTCTGCACCAATGAAGAGTGAACACATATTAACTGTGGTTTCTCCTTAGCCATTTTCTGAGAGACTGTCCTCTTAAATTATATTTCTTTTCAACCATTTAGAAAATATTCAGTATTAGGAAAAAAAAATTAAATGCCAATATGTAAGGGTTTCCCACTGGTATAAAGCCAACCAGTATCACTCACAATGGAACTGATGTCAAGTTATTTTGCCTGTTACCAACCATCTTTTTTCTAAGTGTTGGTATTTGAGAATAGTGAGACTGGTTTTTACTAAGGACACCTTAAGTCAAATGTCTGTAGGTAAAGTGAAGGAGTTTAAACTAGAACAATCTTTTATAATCTGCTTTGATTTGCCTTCAGTAATGCTTATGCTAATGATTTATCTAATTTATGAAGTAACAGATGTCCTGAGCAAGTAGGTGAGCTGCGTGGGGATTTTCCATGTGATACAGTTATGGTTGTTTCCATTATGGGATGAAGATCCTACTTTTAATCTTTCAAAATGTGGGTACAAAATGTCAAAACCTTTGAAAAGTGAAACACTGCCAAACACATACTCACATATGTATACACACATATAATGAAAGATCCAAATGTTTTGGCTGGTTTTTGGCAGCAGTCTTTCATATAATATTTCTATGTTTCCAAATATTTGATTAAATAAAAATGTCTCGATATGTGGCATTAGAAAAATTGCCCTTTTAAATTTTATATCCTAATGCTTTTCATGCTGAATAATTACGGCTTGTTTACATCCTGCAAAATTTCACATTGTAATTAGAAGTGAATTGAACTTGCTTCCTTCCTTTCTTCCCTTTTCTCCTTTTTAATTTTTTTTATTTTTTCAAGACGGAGTCTCGCTCTGTCACCCAGGCTGGAGTGCAGTGGCGTGATCTCAGGTCACTGCAAGCTCCACCTCCCGGGTTCACGCCATTCTCCTGCCTCAGCTTCCCGAGTAGCTGGGACTACAGGTGCCCACCACCTTGCCTGGCTAATTTTTGGTATTTTTAGTAGAGACGGGGTTTCACCGTGTTAGCCAGGATGGTCTCCATTTCCTGACCTTGTGATCCGCCCACCTTGGCCTCCCAAAGTGCTGGGATTACAGGCGTGAGCCACCGTGCCCAGCCTCCTATTCTTCTATTTCTTTTTACTTCTCTTATTTTTCTCTTTCACTCTTTAAGCATTTCATCATATAAAATTAGTAACACAGGGTCATTATAGAAAATGTAAAGAAAGGCAAATGAGATACAGATTTAAAACTGTCATGCCTCTAATCTAAGAATAGCCTTTACTAAGAATGAAGACACAAACCACAGAAAAGGCAGGGAAGCAGCCAGAACCCAAGAGTGATTAGAAATAAGATAGCTAATACCTTTTGGGTACTTTCAAGTTTTTCCTCAGTCTCTTGTTCCACTTCTTACTTCTCATCTCCTGCACCACAGGTAGTCACAACCACATGGTAATAAGATGTCTGTTATAATAACTAACGTGCAATGAGTGCTGAGTGTGAGCCAAACTCTGTTCTAAATGCTTCACGTGTCATTGGATTCTCACAATATACCTGTGAGATAAATATTCGTATGATCTGAATTTTGAGAGGCAACTTTGAGAAACCACATTGATTTGACTCAAATTCCATGCCTGATGCTTGCTGTGTGATCTTGTGCAATTATGTAGCATCTTGGGGCCTGTGTTCCTCTTCTGTGAAAGGAGGTAATACTTCTTACAAATTTAATGAGTATGTTAGGTTTTACCAAATAAAAACATTTTAAATTGAGGAAATAAAGGTACAATGAATACTTGTTGAGCCAGGATTAGAGTCTAAGCAATTGTATGTGGAGATTGGAACCTCTACTTTATACTGCTGTCCTAAACTGGGCTGTACCTGCAGCAGCCCTCAGTCTCATGGACTTCTGTGTTGCATGAAATAGTTCCTTGAGTTCTGGGAAAACATATTAGAACTCCTACTTATGTAAGAAAATTAACCAAAAATTGAGTCGTACTAATATTTTATATATGACCTGCCACCAGTGCCCTCATTTGCTTTAGGTGGCCAATCATCACATATCACAATTCGCAGGGGTCCCTGCATGCATGTTCCACAATGTGAAGCATCCTCACTTTTCCATTTGCCTATGGAGCATTGTAATATCCCATATATCTGTGCCTAGGGAAATACTTTTAAGAATTATTTTTACTAATTGTAATCCAACTAACTCTCACAAAATGGTCAAATGGCTTTAAAAATTCTTTTTTTAAAAAAACGATTACAGAAAACAAAAATGAATCAGCTAATCTACTATCTATCCTTACCCTAGTACATGCTTTCCAACAGCTACATTACAGTAGCAAAGTAAACTAATGACCTAAACTGCTACACCTATAATTTTTAAACTATTCTGAAATGGTAAAGATCATTTCAATTATGAATTATCTTCTAGTCTAAATGAAAGCACAGCATTCTTCACAGAGACTATTCTAATAAGGAGCTAAAGAAAACTTCAGAATGTCCTCAATGTGGTTGACTTGTCAAAATCAAGATATTCAAACATAGTAAAATATTTACAGAAATGTAACAATGAAAAAGGACTATCAGTGACACTTGTATCATGTAAAGATATACTGAATATTTCAAGGCAAAATACTTAAAAGAGTGGTTAAACATAAGGATACTCCTCATTTTCATTTTATATAAAGAAAAGTTTTTCAAATTTTCTGAATTTTTCGAGTTACTAATATCTAGTGGTTATCAGTAGACTACTATCTAGAAAATATAAAAGCAAAAATATAAGCCTAAACTTCCCTTCAACACAGAAAGGAAGTTCTGACAATGACTGAGAAAAAAAAAACACAGCTTTTTAAAAGAACTACATATAATAGAAAGTGCAAAGGAACTTAAACAAATTTACAAGAAAAAAACAACCCCATCACAAAGTGGGCAAAGGATATGAACAGACACTTCTCAAAAGAAGACATTTATGCGGCCAACAAACGTATGAAAAAAAGCTCAACATCTCTGGCCATTAGAGATATGTAAATCAAAACCACAATGAGATACCATCTCATGCCAATCGGAATGGCAATTATTAGAAAGTCAGGAAACAACAGATGCTGGCGAGGCTGTGGAGAAATAGGAATGCTTTTACACTGTTGGTGGGAGTGTAAATTAGTTCAACCATTGTGGAAGACAGTGTAACAATTCCTCGAGGATCCAGAACCAGAAATACAATTTGACCCAGCAATCCCATTACTGGATATGTACCTGAAGGATTATAAATCCTTCTACTATAAAGATACATGCACCCCTATGTTTATTGCTGCACTACTCACAATAGCAAAGACTTGGAACCAACCTAAATGCCCATCAATGACAGACTGGATAAGGAAAATGTGGCACATATACACCATAAAAATGGACGTTTTATAAAAAATTATTTTATCTCTACTCTAATATCTATATGTTTAGAATTGTCTTTATTACTCCCAAGAACATTTTCTTCCATCCTTACTAGTTATTGCCTTCTTTCATCTCACTCTGAATGTGAGCTGGGAGCCCAGATAATGTTGCATAAAATATCTTCACCTTTCATTATTCTGTCATTCTTCATTTAGAAATAGGTTTGGAAAATCGTCATTTATATCACTGGTAAATTCTTCTCCAGTGTCAATATTCTTGTAGGCATTGATATGAGTCATTCATTTCAGTCGTCCTACAACTTTTCCTTCAAATTTTCTCTGCTTTTCAATTAACTTCTTTTTTTGTCTTTGTCTCTCATTTTTAATATTTGCTTTAGGTTATCAATCTTTTTCTGAAATTTTATAGATCACACACAGTACACATTTTTCTAAATTACCTGTCTCTTATAGAAAAAGTCTCAAAATTAGGACTAATTTTTTTATTTCATTTAATTGAGTTTATTATTTTTTTTTCAAATTTCAGGTTTATTTTAGAAACAGGGAGTATAGGTATAGATTTCTCACATGGTTATACTGGACCCAGGTAGTAAACATAGTACCCAGTAGGAAGTTTTTCAAAACTCACATTTTCCTCCTTCCCCTACTAGTTGTGCACAGTGTCTATTGTTCCCAAGTTTATGTCCATGTGTTCTCAATGTTTAGTTCCCACTTTTAAATAAAAACACACAGTATTTGATTTTTTTGTTCCTGAAACAATTTGCTTAGGATTAAGGCCTCCAGCTCCATCCATCTGACTGCAAAGGACATAATTTTATGCTTTTCTATGGCTGCGTAGTATTCCATGGTGTACATTTACCACATTTTTTTAAATCCATTTCATAACTATTGACTGGCACCTAGGTGGATTCCATGTTTTTGCTATTGTGAATAGTGTTGTGATGAGCATATGAGTGTAGGTGTCATTTTGGTATAACAATCTATATTTCTTTGGGTATATACCCAGTAATGTGACTACTGGGTCAAATGGTAGCTCTGTGTTAAGTTCTTTTAGAAATCTCCAAACTGTTTCTGTAGTGGCTGAACTAATAGACATTCCCACCACTAGTGTATAAACATTCTTATTTCTCTGCAGCCTCACTAGCATCTGTTATTTTTTTTTGCTTTTTAATTATTGCCACTCTGATTGGTGTGAGATAAGTCATTGTAGTTTTGATTTGCATTTATCTGATGATTAATGATGATGAGCATTTTTTTTTCATGTCTTTGTTGGCTGCTTGTGTGTCTTCTTTTCAAAGTGTCTGTTCATGTCTTTTGCCCACTTATTAATGGGTTTTGTTTTTGTTTTTCTTTTTTGCCTGTTGTTCAACTTCCTTGTAGAATCTGGGTATTAGACCTCTGTCAGATGCATAGTTTGTAAATATTTTTTCCCATTTTATAGGTTGTCTGTTTACTCTGTTGATGGTTTCTATTGCTGTGGAGAAGCTCTTTTGTTTAATTAGTACTCAGTTTTTGCTTTTGTTGCAATTGTTTTGAGGACTTGGCCATAAATTCTTTGCTATGCTGATGATGTCAATAATGATACTTTCTAGGGGTTTTTTTTTTTTGGTAGGATGCTTATAGTTTGAGCTTTATAAGTGAAGGAGAAATAAAATCCTTCTCAGACAGGTAAAAGCTGTGGTAATACACCTGTATAAGAGGTCTGTAAATCACCTATATAAGATCTACTTTATACTGCTGTCCTGAACTTGGCTGTACCTGCAGCAGCCCTCAGCCTCATGGACTTCTGTGTATGCATGAAATAATTCTTTGAGTTCTGGGAAAAATATTAGAACTCCTATTTGTGTAAATCTCAGCTGAAAATTAACCAAAGATTGAGTTGTACTAATATTTTATATATGATCTGCCACCAGTGCCCTTATTTGCTTTAGGTGACCACTCATCACATTTCACAATTCACAGGGGCCCTGCATGCAAATTCCGCAATCTGAAGCATCCTCACTTTTCCATTTGCCTATGGAGCATTGTAATATTTCATATATCTGTGCCTGGGAAAGTACATTTAATGATTATTGTTACTAATTGTAATCCAACTAACCCTCACAAAATTGTCAAATGGCTTTAAAAATCACCTTTATAAGAGGTCTTTAAATAAGTGCTAAATACAGAGTCAAAAGAATGACACCTGTTACCACAAAAACATATTTATGTACACAGCCCACAGGCACTTAAAGCAACTATTCAATCAAGCCTACATAATAGCCAGCTAACAACCTGATGACAGGATGAAAATCACACATATCAATAGTAACTTTGAATGCAAATGAGCTAAACCTGGCACTTAAAAGACATGGAATGGAAGCCTGTATCTAAAGACAAGACCCAACCATCTGTTGTCTTCAAGACCCATCTCACATGTAACAACACCCACAGGCTCAAAGTAAAATGATGAAGAAATATCTACCATGCAAACAGAAAAAAGAACAAGAATCACTATTCTTACATCAGATAAAACAAACTTTAAAGCAATAAAAATAGGACAATGAAGAGCATTACATACTAATAAAGGGTACAATTCAACAGAAGCCTTAACTTTCCTAAAGATATACACTGAAATAAATCAGAGAAAACACAAATAAATGAAAAGACATTCCATGCTCATGGATTGGAAGAATCAATATCATTAAAATAGCTATATGGCCCAAAGCAATTTACAGATTCTACTTTATTCCTATCAAACTACCAATATCATTCTTAGCCAAATTAGAAAAATTTATTCTAAAATTCATATAAAACAAAAAAAGAGCCCAAATAGCCAAAGCAATCCTAAGCAACAAGAACAAAACTGGAAGCATCACACTATCCAACTTCAAACTATACTATTAGGTAGAATAACCAAAACAGCATGATACTGGTATCAAACAGACACATAGACCAATGGAAAACAATAAAAAACTCAGAAATAAAGCTGCACACCTACAGCTTTCTGACCTTTGACACGGCTGAGCAAAGCAAGCAATGAGGAAAGCCCTCCCTATTCAACAAATGGTGCTCGGGTAACTAACTAGCCATAAGTAAAAGAATCAAACTAGATCCTGACTATTCATATATACAAAAATTAACTCAAGGTAAATTAGGTAAATTAAAGATTTAAATGTGGGACTAGTTTCTGATTATTCAGAGCATCATATGCCCCCTTTCTAAAGAATGTTTTAAATAAGCCCATAGACTTGTGCAGTGACCGTGTTAACAATGCAGGTGCAATAACTTATTCTTGAGCAAATGAAGCATTCTCCTTGAAAAGGTGTTATATTTTCGTTTTCATTTCTTATTGACTTTTAAATTAAGCTACAATGTCAGTTGATAGGCAGAAACACTAGACACATTTTCAATGCAGAGCTATTAAGTTTCATGTAGGCCTCTGTTGAACTAAAGTGGAATCTATTTTTCCCTACTAGTGATTCTTGCTAATGTAAAGATAATTTATTCCTGGATAATATGAAGAAGTTATTCTTTCATTTACATAGTTAGTGAGTAAAATATTTAATACATACGGTGAATTTTTCCCACACTTAAAAGATTTCTCTCTGAAATTCTAAACAGGGCTTTCTACTCTCCATTAATGATCCTTTCCCCTGTCAGAAATACTGTGTCTGTGCGTATACATTATGTTCATCATGCTGACCCAGGCCTGTGCACAAGCATTTAAGGACCTCATCATCTAGTTGTAAAACAGAAAATGTCAAAAACATCAACAGTCCATACAATGACCCTTCCATCTAGTGAAATGTGGCATGGTGAATTTTGAACTTGATTCTACTAACTTAATCATGCCTCACAAGTGAGAGATTTAAACAAAAAAGGGGGAGGGTGAAGACAGAGAAGAGCGAGAGTAGGGAGATAGTTGGACTATTTCTGTCCCCTGGGTAGGCTGAATCATTGACATATGGTGAGCATAAGAAATGTTCTCCCCAATACTGTGGCTCAGATACATTGAATTAGCTTTAAATCACTATATGCAAAGCACTATCATGGTCATAGTTGAATTGAGAAATAGAAAATACCCCAATATGTGTGTTAATTATGTAAAATTAAATATGTAAAATATCAATATATGCTTATGCTAAAATCATAAAATTACTTAGACTTCTCTAATAAAACCATTGTTAATTTAAAAAACTTAAAGATTTGCCAACCATGTCAAACTTTCTTATTTCTCATCCTTTCTTCATTTTCTCTTTAAATGTATTCTGGCAAAAATCCTGGTGTGTGATCCAAGGATAATCCCAGATGCCACATCAGGAGAAGAAAATTTGGGCATATAAAACTTTAAGAAGAAACTCCCTTCTGTTCCATCCATAAATTTTTTAGAAGCTGACATCTAATGTGTCAACAAAATTCCATGAGCAAGAAAAGATAATCCCAAGAGAACCTCTAGAATACAGATAACAATAATAAAGATTCTATAAGCACATTGCACAGTATATCATCAGCATTAATTTCACATTCTAGAACTTTGAGCTATTTGATATATTCTATGCATTTTTTTCGCTACTTCAGTAATTTTACCTTGGATAGTTTCATTATGTTAGATTTCATCCTTCAAAACACATTTCATTTAAATGTGAATAGAGAGACAAAACAAATCAGCTCATGACATAGTGACAGAATGTTTACATTAATGGTGAAGTATGTGTAGTCTTAAAACTTGTGAGCAGAAACAATTAAAAATACAACACCTGAAAAACTTATTTTTATACTCATATATCAGCCGTGTTTTAAATTCAGTTGTAGAAGAAACAAGGTATAAAAAACAAGGTATAAACAACATATTAGTGGTACGTTTAATTTTAGAGTACTACCGAGTGAAAAATGCAGCATTGCTAAATGTTAATGACCAACAAATATGTGTGCATATGTGTGTCTACGCATGCACACACAAATATATATAAACATCACATATATTTTATATTTATGATATTTATATATAAAACATTATATAACATATATAATATATAAATTATATATAACATATATAATATATAAATTATATATAACATATATAATATATTATATGTTATATAAAACATTATATATACAATATTTATATATAAAACACATAAACATATATTATATATAAATATTATATATTATAAATGTATATGACATTATACATTATATATTATATATACATATATTATGTAATGTTACATATAACACATTTTATATATGTAATTTCAACAATGACTTTTTTATATGCGTGATATCACAGAGGATATAAATAACTTTTCAAATAATGAAAATAACTGAAATTTCATTGTGAAAGTTTGCAACATTAAGAAGACATTTATAATGACTTATATATAACAGCTGAACAATCAGTTAAATGCAAAATTTCTCTCTGGATTTTTTTTTGCTTTTAGATCCTTTGTCATGGATGTATACTATTGGGGTTTTTCTTTCCCAGTTAGGTAAAGATGTTTCTAAAATGTTAACTATTTCATCAAAGAAATAACATAAAGATCTCAGACATGGTTTGAAAAAGTATTAATCTGCCTCACATTAAATAATTTACCTAATTACACAGAAATATTGTATTAATATTTTTAATGTGTTCATATATTGCAAGGTTTTTTTGATCTCAAAGAATAATTGGCCAGCAATATGAACATGTGCATATTAGAGTGAATCAAATGCTGTATCTCCATCCATCATCACAAATATACAATCCTCAAAAGCTGCACTCTAAACACTAAAACTCTTGATTCGGGCTATTAACCATTTACTTTTTATAGAGGCTACTGAACCTGTTTACTTTCTACATATCTGCTCTATTTGTTAGATTCATACAGTACTTAAGTAAAAAATGTATTTCACCACTTTAATATTGTGTCTAAAGGAAGTTTAAAAAAATGTGTTTGGGGAGGTGTTGGAGGGTATTTTATGTGGAAGAAAGAATGTTTATTGAATATTTAATGACTAAAGGCAGTATGTGGTAATGATTGGTGCTGTTTTCCACATGTTCCTGTGATTTACTCCTGTGATACTGGGAAATACATATTTGGTCTTGTCCTTTCCCATTTTCTGGCATACAATTCTTAAAATCCTTGGAATTTCCAAAGTGATTAATGGTTGATGACCCCTAGATAGCTTCAGGATGGTGGGGGTGGCTGGTTACTGGAAAGACTAAAGCAGGATTAGAGGTTTGAGAACTGGTCACTGGAAAGACCAAAGTAGGATTAGAGGTTTGAGACTTTCAGCCCAGCCACCAACGTGGATGGGACGGGAGAGGGACTGACGTTAAGTTGATAACCAATGGCCAATGGTTTACTTAGTCATGCCTACATAATGAAGCCTCCACAAAAACCCCAAAGGATTGGGTTTGGAGATCTTCCAGATAGTGGAACACATGGAGGTTCCTGGGGCTGGCACACCTGGGAAGGTTATGAGAGCTCCCAAGCCCCTTCCCCTGTACCTTGCACTATCCATCTCTTCCTCTGTATTCTTTGTACTATCCTTTATAATAGACCATTTTCTTTCTAAATAAACTGGTGACAATAAACTATTTACTAAAATAAATAATTTACTAACTTAAGTGTCTCCCTGAGTTTTGCGGGCCACTCTAGCAAATTAATTGAACCCAAGGAGGGCATGGCAGGAATCCCAATTTATAGCCAGTCAAAACCACAGATGAAACAACCCCAGGCTTGCAATTGGCATTGAAAGGCAGGGGTGGCGGGAGAGTCTTGCAGGAGTGAGCCTTCAACCTGTGAGTTCTGATGCCATCTCCAGTTAGACAGTGCTGGAACTGAGTTAGAGGACCCCCAGCTGCAGAATTGAATGCTTGCTTTGTGTGTGGAGAAAAAAATCACACACATTTGGTGACAAGTCTTTTATGTTGATTGTGGGGTGACAGTGGAGGAGAAACGGTCTGTGTTTTCACCTTGCCCTTTTCTGAACAACTCATAGGATTTAATTTCTTGGACCTTCTGTGACTAGACAGGGCAGTATATTATTTCTCATCACTAAGTTACAGGTGGTTGGAGCTTACAAAGGTGAACCACTCTAGAGATCTCTTTTCTCTCTAACAAAGCAACTGATAATGTTTCAGAGAGTGGCTAGTCTATTATCTGAGGCCTTATATTCATTAACCTCCATGAATAATGACTTATCAAAATGTTTAAAACTTTTTCAATCTGATTGGCAGAAAATGACATCTTATTGTAGGTTTAATGATATACTGTTTTTTTTTAATGTTTCTGCTTGATCTGAAGACAATTGACATAAATTATATCTTTGTCTAAAATATGGTATGCAAATATTTTTCCAATTTTGTCATTTATTATTTAATTTTATCTTGTTGGCTTTTAAGTCATAAATTTATTTTAAGGCTTCCTGTTTATTCATTTATTTATTTATGTTTAGAATGTCATTCCTCATAAAGACATTATAAATGATACCTACCAAGTTTTCTTTTGCATTTTTTTAGGATTCTATTTTAAATTTGAATTTTAAATCAATGAGAAATTAATTTTTGAATAAACCATGAGGTAGGTGTCATGCTCTATTTTCTATTTATTTAAGTGTATTTTCAGTACTGTTTTAAACATTTCTTTATAAAGATATATTGAATATTTCTTGTATTTAGTGCTAGTGTTATATATTCCTTCCAATAATAAATGTGATGCTTTTTGCCATTTTATTCTTTATCTGATTCTTTATTTTGGAAGGATATTGATGTGGTGTCCCACCCAAAAGTATATGAAACTTTGGTAATATTTACTTTCTCCTAATTAGCACAAATCTGTTTTTCTCTTTGATTATGCCAGCTACTTCCTCAAATATTAGATAATTGTAAAATGATACAGATTTTTTTCTTCCTAATATTAATTTGATGTACCATATATGCTACAATTAAGCACAATACTGGCTCTTGAGCAGAGCTAGACGGATAAAGATATGGGTAGACAGGTAAGTAAATAAGTTCATTAAAAGATAAATATATTCATAGTAGACACACACACACACTCACACACATATATACATACATGAAAATATATTTGAATATACTGTTGGATTATGCCTGTGAACATTTGATTTAGGAATTTGCATCTTTTATCATAACTGATATTTCCCTACAAATTCTATTTTTTCGTATTTGTGTTTGTGAGAGAAAGATTTAAAAAGTTGAGGGTTCTGCTTGCTTAGTGGATTGAATTGGAATTCCTCCTTCTTTTCTCTCTGCTGCTGTTATTTGAATAGTACTGGATTTACCTCTTCCTAAAATATATGATAGCATAACTTTGAAATTATATGAGATGAATATTTTGTTGGAGATAATTCTTTTTTTATTTTTTAACTTATTTTAATTTTTTTTTTTTTTTTTTTTTTTGAGACGGAGTCTCGCTCTGTCGCCTAGGCAGAAGTGCAATGGCGGGATCTTGGCTCACTGCAAGCTCCGCCTCCTGGGTTCGCGCCATTCTCCTGCCTCAGCCTTCCGAGTAGCTGGGACTACAGGTCTCGCCACCATGCCCCGCTAATTTTTTGTATTTTTAGTAGAGATGGGGTTTCACCGTGTTAGCCAGGATGGTCTTGATTTCCTGACCTCATGATCCGCCCGCCTCGGCCTCCGAACGTGCTGGGATTATAGGCGTGAGACACCGCGCCCGGTGGGTGGAGATAATTCTTTTAAATGTTTCTTCATTCATTTTATGGCTTTTTCTTCATAGATTTGTGTGTATTTTGTGTTTAAACATAGGTTACTTTTTTTTCCAAATAATTTGTCCATTCAAGTTTTCAAACACTTTAGTAGAGCTGAATATAGGGAATGCTCCTAGTTCTTATGAAATCTTCCACAAAACATCTGTATGATCATTTACGTCATATCATTACTTATTTTGTACATTTGCACTTCCTTCATTTCTTGATATATATAATTCATAGTTTATCTCTTTCACCTTTTGTCATAAAAGATAACTTAAAATTATTTTTAATTCTACCATTTAATGTATTATTTTCAATGTCAATTTTTTACTTTTTTAAATTCATGGTTTTCATTTTTATAAGGGATGTTTTACATAAAAATTGAACAGATAGTATGGACTTTCATATACTCACTCCTTATCCCTTGCACATATAGTTTGTTTTATTATTACCATCTTGCATTGGTATGGTACATTTGTAGTAAATTGGTAAACTGTCTTCCAAAGTGGCTGTACCATTTTCTCTTCCATTAGCAATAAATTCATGTTTCTCCTCATGCTCATCAGCATTTCGTATTGTCAGGCATTTTTTTGGATTTTAACCATTCTAATAGGTGTGTGCATTATTGTTTTAATTTGCAATTGCCAATGACAAATGCAGTACAGCATATTCTCATATGCTTGTTCACCACTGTTTATCCTGTTTGACAAGGTGTTTGTTTAGATATCTTGCCCATTTAAAAAATTATGTTGTTTGCTTTCCTATTATTAGGTTCTTTTTATATTTTAGATATAAATTATCAAATATATTTTTGTAAACATTGTTCTCCAAGTCCATGACTTCCTTCCTTATTCTTTTAACAATGTTTTGCATAGAAACTTGTGATTTTATAAAGTCTAAATTACCATTTTCTCCTTTTATTAATCTTATCTTTAATGTGAAATCTAAAAACTCATTGCCAAACCCAAGATCACTTAGGTACACTCTTTTTTAAAGGTCTGTAGATATTTTATAGTTTTGCACTTTGTGTTTACGTAATTTTGAGTTAATTTTTGTCAGAGGTGTAAGGTCTGTGTTTGAATATTTTTTCTTTTTGCATATGGATATCCAATTGTTCCAGAAGCATTTGCTAGACAGATTATGAATTCTCTGTTGAAATGCCTTTGCTCCCTCCTCATCATGTATTAGTTAACTATATTTGAGTGAGGCTCTTTCTGAGTTATCTATTCTGTTCACTTGGTCAATTTGTCTACTTTTTCATCAATATACTAGCTTGATTACTGAAGTCTACAATTTTATAATATATCTTGAAGTTAGGTGATGTAAGTCCTCTGAGTTTGTCCTTCTCAGTTTTGTTTTGACTAATCTGTGACTTTTGTCTTTTCGTATAAACTTTAGAATCAGTTATGAATATCTGCAAAATAACTTGCTGGGATGTCAGTTGGTATTGCATTTAACATATAGAACAAGTTAGAAGAGTTGACTTCTTAATGTTTAGCCTTTATGAACATGGAGTATCTCTTCAGTTATTTAGTCTTCTTTACCTCTTTCATCAAAGTCTGTAGTTTTCCTTATATAGACCTTGTACAGATTTTGTTAGATTTCTACTTAAATATTTAATGTTAGGGGGTGATAAAATAAATGGTATTGTAATTTGAATTTTCAACTTTCAATTGCTCATTCATTGCTGAAACCTTACAGGCCAGGTTTCTGCAATTGGATCAGCAAATGCTAATGTATGTCATTTGCAATGTTTTTTATTTATATAGGTTTCTTTTGGTGGCCTGTTTTACTGTGTAGAAAAATTCTGGAAAGATTGTGTAATTTTTATTGTTTTGTAAATAATAATAATTGTATTATTATTTCTCAGATATGTCAGAGTCCCTCATTATTTGTAACACTGAGTGGAGGAAGAGTTCAGTCTCTTAGTCCTTTTTCAGTCTTAGATACCACTTTGTGCCTAGGCCTCAGGGATGAGGCCTTCTCAGTGAATCCTCCCACATGTAAGCAAAAAATGTGCCTTACATCTTTAAAAAGTCCTGGGAAAATGATTAGATCCTTTTTCACTTCCAGTGTTAGCACACCTCTCATGCATATCACTACTGGACACTGTGTCCACAAATGCTTCTTGCTTCTCTCTCAAAGAAAGATACCTTTTACTTCTACCTATGTCTAAGAAACAGTCAATCTTCGACTGAGTCATTGATGACCATGGGGTTCTTGCTCCTTCCCCAGAAAATTAAGTCTTTCTCCTTTTTTTTTTTTATTTAATTTTTTTAGTATTTATTGATCATTCTTGGGTGTTTCTCGGAGAGGGGGATTTGGCAGGGTCATAGGACAATAGTGGAGGGAAGGTCAGCAGATAAACATGTCAACAAAGGTCTCCGGTTTTCCTAGGCAGAGGGCCCTGCCGCCTTCCACAGTGTTTGTGTCCCTGGGTACTTGAGATTAGGGAGTGGTGATGACTCTTAACGAGTATGCTGCCTTCAAGCATCTGTTTAACAAAGCATATCTTGCACCACCCTTAATCCATTTAACCCTTAGTGGACACAGCACATGTTTCAGAGAGCACGGGGTTGGGGTAAGGTTATAGATTAACAGCATCCCAAGGCAGAAGAATTTTTCTTAGTACAGAACAAAATGGAGTCTCCTATGTCTACTTCTTTCTACACAGACACAGTAACAATCTGATCTCTCTTTCTTTTCCCCACATTTCCCCCTTTTCTATTCGACAAAACCGCCATCATCATCATGGCGGGTTCTCAATGAGCTGTTGGGTACACCTCCCAGACGGGTTGGCTGCCGGGCAGAGGGGCTCCTCACTTCCCAGACTGGGCAGCCGGGCAGAGGTGCCCCCCACCTCCCGGACGGGGCAGCTGGCCAGGTGGGGGCTGCCCCCCACTCCCGGATGGCAGCTGCCGGGCGGAGATGCTCCTCACTTCCCGGACCGGGCGGCTGCTGGGCGGAGGGGCTCCTCACTTCCCAGAGGGGGCCGCCGGTCAGAGACGCTCCTCACCTCCCAACCTCCCAGACGGGGTGGCGGCGGGGCAGAGACACTCCTCAGTTCCCAGACGGGGTCGCGGCCGGGCAGAGGCGCTCTTCACATCTCAGACGGGGCGGCGGGGCAGAGGCCCTCCCCACATCCCAGACCATGGGCAGCCGGGCAGAGACGCTCCTTACTTCCTAGACGGGGTGGCAGCCGGGCAGAGGCTGCAATCTCGGCACTTTGGGAGGCCAAGGCAGGCGGCTGGGAGGTAGGTGGAGGTTGTAGCGAGCCGAGATCACGCCACTGCACTCCAGCCTGGGCAACATTGAGCTCTGAGTGAGCGAGACTCCGTCTGCAATCCCGGCACCTCGGGAGGCCAAGGCAGGCGGCTGGGAGGTGGAGGTTGTAGCGAGCTGAGATCACGCCACTGCACTCCAGCCTGGGCAACATTGAGCTCTGAGCGAGCGAGACTCCGTCTGCAATCCCGGCACCTCGGGAGGCCGAGGCTGGCAGATCACTCGTGGTCAGGAGCTGGAGACCAGCCCGGCCAACACTGTGAAACGCCGTCTCCACCAAAAAATACGAAAACCAGTCAGGCGTGGCGGCGCGCGTCTGCAGTCCCAGGCACTCTGCAGGCTGAGGCAGGAGAAGCAGGCAGGGAGGTTGCAGTGAATCGAGATGGCGGCAGTACAGTCCAGCCTCGGCTCAGCATCAGAGGGAGACCGTGCAAAGAGGGAGACGGGAGAAGGAGAGGGAGAGGGAGAGGGAGAGGGAGAGGGCGAGGGCGAGGGAGAGGGCGAAGGCGAGGGAGAGGGCTTTCTCCTTAATAGAGAAAGATCTAACACATAGCTGGAATTTTATGTCTACTCACTGTTTACTAATATTATTTGTATAATTATATAATATTTACATGTTAATAAACAACATTGACATTCTATTTCCAAACCAGAAGTACTATAAGTGTTTTAGTCTGAGACCCACAACTCCAACAGTTACTGTATGTCAGGAATTCATGACAAGCTTGAATGGATATTTCTGGCCAGGGTTTTTTGAGATTGTGCTTACAAGCCAGCCAGGGCTGAGTGTTTTGAAGGCTTCACTGGGGCTGGAGGATCTCCTTTCAAGGTGGCTTTCAAGGTAGCTCACACAGATGTTTGGCCAAGTTAGTACTGCACATTGTTAGAGGCTCTAGTTCCTCTTCCCCTGAGTCTCTCCACAGAAACACTTGAGTACTCTTACTACCTGATGACTACTCTTCCTCAGACTGAGTGGTCCACTTTCTCCATTCCCCTTCATTCCTTAAGTTTCTCTACTTACCTCCTGGTTAACAAGAGTTGACCTAATTGTAGTTTCTTAAAAAAAAAATAAAAAAAAAAGACTCAAAAAAAGACTCAGGACTCACAGCAAACAAATTTTCAAAGTTCTTTTATGTCAGAAATATCTGGCAGTATGGAAGAATTCTAGTCATACATATTTTCACTCAGTACTACTGCCTCCTAGAGTCTAATGTACCTGTAAAAAAGTATGAAACTGGTATTGTGTTTTTCCCTTTTAGGTGACTTGTACTTTTCTTTTTTTAAGTCAGATTTTATGTTAGGATAGCTCTTTATGTTGGTTATCTTACATACAGGTTTTTTCCTCTCTGAATTTCTGAGTACTGATAACTTCAAGTTTTAAAAATTTTATTTTAAGAATCTGTCTTAAATTTTATCTTTGACTGTCTTTTTCTGTTATACTAGCTATATCTAAGGGATTACTGATTGATATGTGTACACATTGGATCTCCCAGTTAACTCTTTCTATCATATTTTGCTCTGTTAGTTTTTAAAACTTCAATAATTTTTAGTGTTCTGTGTTATTTTATTGGTATAATTTGTTATTTTATGTCCATTTCTGTTTCCCAGCAGTGTCTGTTATGCTTATTTATGCTTCTTTCAAAAAGCCTTACTTTCTGGGATTTAAAAACAAATTCTGACAATCCATATTTCATCTCCTCTTGTCTCATTTTCCCTTGGCTGTGGTAATTTGATGAACAATTGTATACTAGCTGTAGTGTGTTCAATATCCCCCCACACCTTCCTGCTCCCCAAATTCATGCCTACCTAGAACTTCAGAATGTGACATTATTCAGAAATAAGGTCTTTGCAGATGTCATTAAGATGGTATCAGGTCAGTTTAGCATGAGCATCATGAGGCTGACAGGTGTCCTTGTCAGAAGTGGGCAGATGAGGCAGATAATTGAGTGATGCAACTACAACTCAGGATAGTTGGGAGCCACTAGAAGGTATAAAAAGGCAAAGAGGAATTTTGCAGCCTTCAGGGAGAATGTGGCTCTGCTACTGTCTTGATTTCAGACTTCTGTCCTCCATAAGTGTGGGTGAATACATTCCTATTGTTTTAAGCCACTAGGTCTATGGTAATTTGTTACTGCAGTCCTAGGAAAAAGAAACACTAGATGTGATACTCTAAATTATTTTTTAAAAATTCATGAGCAATGTTTGGCAACAATGTTTTCCATCTTTTCTCTGATAACATTAATCTGCTAAATTTCCTGCTTCTGTTATTTGTTTTTCTTGCCTCTTTGCTCCTTTCAAAAATATATTAGCTTAAAATATAACTTGATGTCTTTTCAAATTTATTAACCATCACTCAGTGAGGTGAAAGCCTACATACTCAAGAACGTCTTTTGCTTTATAAAAGAATCACAACTTATTTGGGTAAAAATTTACCCAATAATTTACCCAAAATTTTACCCAGTTTTTTTATTTGCCCTATTCTCTTTTCAGAGCCAGTAATTTTAATATATTTAGCTGAATCTCCTTTGTCATTTAAAGCTCCCAGTGAAGTCCACTGTAATAAAGATATTGTGTGGGGATTTGCCATCTACTACGGACCAGATAAGCATGATCAACAGTTTTAAATTTGATTGTTGCTCGTCTTTCCACCCTTTCTTCTGGTTGTTTTTTCTCATGAATAGGCTGAGCTATATAAAATAATCTACTTATTTATTTTCCTCTATATCTATCTATAATCCCTCTTTTCTAGTGTAAAACTGGGCATGTGACTACCTAGCTATTAGAGATATAGAGTGCTGTGCAAGACTGAATCCTTGTCCTCATGAATATTATCGTCAAGAAGGAGAATGACTACCTGATCCAAAGATTATTATCAAATATGACGGTCAAAATAGTGAAAAATGGCAAAAGTAAGTGTCATTTCTGAGGAGACAACATGATGATATGTCACCAAAGCTCCAGTGCATCTTATTTTCTGTGTTCATCAAATATGTTTAGATTATGTACCACTCTTTCCTAATTTCCACTTTTATCTTACAGTAAACTCCCATATCTTAATAATGCTGAATGCCTTTGATTTTTTCAAAGTGAAAAAATATAACTTAGTGACTACCTCTTTTTATGAAAAAAATAAGAAATATTAATATGTATGCTTGATTAGATATGGAACATAGGTTGTATAGATAGATCATAATATGAAACAGTTCACATAAAATGTTGTTATAGTTATCCAGTGTGAGAAATGACACTTTAGAGTGTCAGAGGAGGAGATAGAGGGAATGAAACCCGTAGGCTTGACTGATGTATCTATTCATAGGTCAAGAGCCCTGATCATTTTTAGACACAACTTTAGACACTCTTATTAGTCATGATTATTAGGCACAAGATACCTAATACTGACAGCTAATGCTGAACAGTCTTCCATTAAAAACATGGGAATTTTTGTTGAGTGGTAGTGTCTGTTTTTGAATTTCCCTCTTGATATTCTTGAAACCAACACAATGTTGCAGAAATTTACCAAATCAACTATCATAAAGAGACTTAAGCTTTGTTTGTTCAGCAGTTTAGAACTAGCTTTGTACTGAGTATTTCTTATTCTCTTAATAACAATTCCACTTTTTTATGTGAACCCCTAGTCTACATATTTCTGATAGGACTGTCAAATATAGTACCTTACTGCTCAATATAGTATGGGCATGTGGCCAAAGATTTTTGAAAAATCTTGCCAACAGAATTTGGTCAAAATGTTAGGTGTCTAATACAAGAAGAGACTACCAGAATATTTTCTTGGGTTTTTTCTTTTCTTTTTTTTCAATTGAGTCTTGCTCTGTAGCCCAGGCTGGAGTGCAATGGCACAGTCTCAGCTCACTGCAACCTCCACCTACTGTGTTCAAGCGATTCTCCTGCCTCAGCCTCTCAAGTAGCTGGGATTACAGGCGTGCGCCACCATGCCCACTAATTTTTTGTGTTTTTAGTAGAGATGGGGTTTCACCATGTTGGCCGGGCTGGTCTCAAACTCCTGACCTCAGGTGATCCACCCACCTTGGCCTCCCAAAGTGCTGGGATTACAAACGTGAGCCACTGTGCCTGGTCGGGATTTTAAAACCATATTCAGGGAATGCTTCCTCTTTAAGTAATCTTTTAAATGTCTTATATTTCTAGTCCAGTGTTCCTCACTCCTCTAATGCTTGGAGAAACTCCCCCAAGGGAGGGGAAGGGAGAAAGAGAACAAGACAGAGACAGAGTGAAGAATGCAGCAAGGTTATGAGTGAATGAATATACTGTGATGATGTTGGGGCTGGGAAAACGATACTCTAAAAGTTTGGTACTTTGGCATGCTGAACACTTTGAGCTGAAATAAGAAGGCCTCATAAACAAGCCTCAGATCCAAGGTTTCTTTCTGATGTCTCTATCCTTAGTCTCGCTGATCCTCTTTGTTTCCCCGAGTTCATGGAGGAATTTCTGAAATTTTTTAATTAATTTTTTTCTAAAAGAAATGAAATTATCTTAAGATAGCCTCACTAGGAATCTCATGAAATAACCAGAAAAGATTCACCACAGGAGAAGAAAAGAGACTAAAAATTATCATGAAACAGCCTTTGCAAAAATTATAACTGAGAAAATGATGACAGTAAAAGAGATCAGACCTAACCAATTCCATCTTGCTTCTAACATTTAAGCTGTCATTGTTCATTCCTGGGAGTAGGCTGAACTAACCTTGGGAAGGAATTCAGCTCATGGTTTGACTCTGAAACAAAATTGATAATAGCCCTTTCCCCAAAACACCTCCTTCTTGACTGGGGACCAGTCTGCCTTTGCAGGACTAACAAATTAGCTACAAAATTAGAAATTATGGTTTAGGGACAGTCAGGCAGCCTCTAGCTCAAAGAGTCTGAGCCTCCCCAAATTGCTCCTGGGGGTAACATCACTATTGTAAAACTTAAGATCAGTGCTTGAGATATTTTGCAGACCCTGTACTTGATGGATAAGCTGACACCACCCAGACTGTTAATCTGGCTTAACCAGATCTGCCATCCCATCCAACAGAGGACAGCAAGAAAACCTCACTTCAACTTCTATAATTCCATCTCCAACCTGACCAGTCAGCACTCCCCACTTCCCAACCCCTTACCCACCAAATTATCTTTAAAAACTCAGATTCTGAAATGTTCACAGAGACTGATTTGAGTAATAAATCAGACAAACATTTCAACTATTCTGGAGGAAGCTGAGAGATTACCTAGGTGATGTTATCTGCATGAGACAACAATCTTTGCTCACAATAAAGTTCTACCCCTCACTTTCCCACCACCTCCCCCAGAGCTCTGAGGAACTTTGTCCTAGGTCGTTGTTTTTTGTTGTTGTTGTTTGTTTGTTTGTTTGGGCTCATTTATTTCCCCTGAAAATAATTTACTACCCCTCACAATTTCATACCCCTCCCATTTCCTCCTGCCCTGTGAAGAAGGTATTTAAACCTCAACTATCTGGCCCCACTTTGAATTTCATATTTGAGGCACTTGCATATCCATATTCATGTTTAAAATTTGTTACATTTTTTCTTGTATTCATCTGTCTACTCTCAGTCATTGCCATGATCTTTAGTGGACAGAGAGAAAGCTTTCACTCTACCACTGATGACTAATCAATGAAAGAGGTGCATGTATGATCTAATGAATGCAAGGAATTCATCTCTTGAAGCAGGAACTGTCAAGGAAATGGATTTTCCTCCTCTAGTGCCTCAGAGGGAGTTCAACTGCCCTAAGATCTTGACTTTAGCCCAGGGAAACTGATTTCAGAATTCTGGCCTTCAGAAATTTAAGAGAAGCATTTTGCGTTTTAGGTCACTAAGTTTGTGGTAATTTCGTTACAGCAGCCATAGGGAACAAGTGCAATATACATATATTAATACACTTATTTAGCCTTAGTAGCAGAATTATGCTAAATTTGGATAATTTAGAATGCTTCTCATTGCTTTTTGTACTTTTGAAATGGTTTGTTTTTTAATAATTTAGGGATTTTCTATAGCTTGAAGTTTGCACTATACCTTTAGAATTTTATTGAATAAAGGATGTTAAATTTGTAATTTTTTCTACCAATATGAACTCTCTGAGTATACTATAATGAATGTCACAATCATGCACCTCTACATGTCTGACTCTGATTTTCCTTTGTTATATATCAATCTCTTGTTAAACGTCAACTTCTAAGAACCAACCGGTCAGCATTCCTGACTAGAATTCTGGAGAATAATCACTTGCATTAAATTATACTCACATTCTTTGAGTGAAAGAAACAAAATGATTCCTTATGAGTTTATATGTATAAATTCTGAAGTGCAATTACATAGACCAGAAACAGATGAAGAGGTCAGGTAGTTATAAGCTAATGAGAAATAAATTGCTATAATCAGTGACCTAACATTGCCTGAAGGATTTCTTTCTACAGTAATGGATTCAGCTGGCAAAGTGTCTCAATGTTGCTGTTTGAAATTCTTGTTTGGCATTTGTAATATTATTCTAAAGCTTGATTACATCATGGACAAGTTAATCCATTACAAAGTACTTGCCTGAAGTGATTTGGTTTTAATGTTTCATAAGTAGCCAGTTGTGTGGGACTAGAAGAATAATTGGCTTACTCCCTACCAGTGGGATGACTTTTCTCTTGATACTGTAAATTAGTTTTTGCTCTGGATTTTGGGGCAATATCTTATTATATTTTTGTTTCTTGTTTTTTTTCTGCTTTGATAAAAAATGGCTATAGCTTAGAAGTCTACTAATTAAACCCACTCCTGACAATTATTTATTAATTATTTTATTTTAAAACTTAAACATTGTTACCTCAGATCAAGAGGGTATTTTCTATTTGCTGAATTTTTTAGTCAGTCATCTTAAATCTTTGGGCCTATGAGTAATAAAAACTAATAATAGCTTTCTGAATTAAAATTAAAACCCAAACAAAACTGTAATGAGGAGCTTATTACAAGTAGTCACATGAAATGATTCCATTGTAATAGACATTATTTATATATTTCCACCTTCATGTATTTTCATCTTGTGTGAGTCATGTGACCATATCTGTTCAATGAATAGAAAATTTGCTGGTGTGATTCATTCTCGGTTTCTTTTGCTGTGCCCTGGTGTCAATGTTTACAAAAGCAATTGCTCTGTCAATCTGAGTATGTTAGAGAGATGCAGAGCAGAATCTCAAGACCAACTGCAGTCAATATGTAGCCTGGCTGATAAGCACACTCTAACTTTTCCCAATGGAGTTCAGTTCTCTTCTTGTAGCTCATTATGTATATGGAATCGTAAGAGGGCACACTGCATAAAAGAAAGCCATCAGGAAACTCACAAATCCAAAATCAGGAAAAAGCCAAGGGTCGTGTATGAGATGTCTATAAAATATCCTTTTTCTCCAAAACCAGGAAGCAGCACTGCTGAAATGTAGTAAATTCTTCTACTTAAATTATTTTAAGGACTTATATAAAGAGCATCTTAGAATTTCCACATAAAAAACTTTAAGCTCATTTTGGAGGATGAGGACAAAGAATAGGTAACTTGGAAGAGAAACCTGCATACACAGGCACAGATACCTCATTAAATCATTATCTTTGGAAAAAAATCAGCCTAATTCTTATATCAAAGAAAAGATGAAAAACACATCTGCATGATTAAATAATTTGAATAATGCAGGAAAGTTAAGGGTTTTCTATAAGGTTAATAATACATATCATCTGAATTTATGATCATACTTATGTAGATGTTTAACATATAAAATAAACAGGATTAGAAAGTAACTTATTTTGTTTCATTTAAAATGTTTTAATGGGAAACCCTTAGATTGTTGGAAGAAGACAAAAGTTAAATAAGAAAATTCTGACAATTATGTTAATTTGTGCCACATGGAAGATAAAAATTCCTCACTCTTCACTATTCTCCATGTTAAAAAGGCAAAACAAAATCTGTAACTCTTTTATCAAACAATCACTTCTTTAGGGCTTTTTTAAGTTATGTGGAATAGAAATGTAATTTCAGTTAAAATTAGTCCTTGTCCTTTCAGCTGGAGATCAGAAAGGGGGAAAAAACCTCTATGTCAAAGGCAAGTAACTAGCCCTAAAGAAAAATTCTGGTTGACCTGGCTTGTGTCATGTGCCGACTGCTTGATAAATAAATATGATTCATGATTGAGCAACCTCGGTGAGCTCCCGAACGCTATAGAACAGAGGCAATTCAATGTGTTTACAGTACTCTCCCCAGGTATCACTATTCTCTCTATACATGCTGAAAGGAAAGGGGAAGTGTTGCAGCATAAACTGAGAGATGAAATGTTGAAAAGCATGAAAAGTGATGTCTCTCACTGTATGCACTTTTAGTTTGCTTTTGTTAGTATTTATTTTGTTTTGCTTGTTTTAGACAAGAATTTAAAAAGCTATATTTTAATAAACTGATGAGGGTTACAAGATAGTAAGGTTTTAAAAAGTCATTTTTATTATTAGTCCTGCTAAACATGTTAAAATTATTAATGCTTACAAATACTTAAAAACAGAAAAAATGTTGATAATTTAATAGGAAAAATTAATTCAATAAGTTTATCATTAAACCATATTTTAGGAGATAATGATTTAACAATATTTATATGTATCCATTTCCAATACATTGGCTTGTTTTTCTGTTTGTCTAATATTTATTATATTATATTTAAAGTTGACCTTTACAGTAGAATATTTTTTTGATTCCTACTTCATTATCTAGGTTGGCTTATTTCTTAGTTCTTCTACTGCTTATTACTGTAGACTGTGGTGTTACTTTTTCAATGTTTTATGAGTAGAATTTTATTATATTTCCTGTTGTTTATTTTCTTTATATGTGTTAACCATTTTCTTCACTAAATTCAAGAAAAAAACCACAAAGTTGCACACATGTTATTTAAGCCTATTGACAGAATTTTAGTGTTCATTTTGTAGCCTTTGCAAGATGTAGGTTGAGGGTAGAGCTTTATAAACAGCAAACAGATTATGCATAATTAAGTTAATACTTTATATAATAAACTAAAATGAAATTATATTTTAAAAGTTATAAATTACTGAATGAATTTCAACAAACTTTACAAAGAAATGATATTGCTGCCTCTGTTTAAAATACAGAGTTTATATTTTTCACAGTCAGGCTGCTATGGTTTGAATGTGTCCTCAAATTCATATTTTAGAAGCTTAATCCCCAGTGCAACAGTATTGGGAGGTGGGGCCTAGTAAGAAGTTTTTAAGTCATGAGAACTCTGCCTCATAAGTAGATTAATGTCATTATCATGGGAGTTGGTTAGTTATTGCAAGAGCATTATGTTATTAAATGAAGCCTGGCCTCTGGTACTTCTATTTTTCACATGCACTTGCCCTTCTGTCCTTCTGCCATGAGATTTCTCTCTTGCCAGATTCCACGTTCTTGGACTTCCCATCCTTGAAAACCGTGAGCCATGTAAAGTTATATCCTTTTTTTGAGACAGAATCTCATTCTGTCTCCCCAGCTGGAGTGCAGTCAATTATAGCTCACTGCAGCTTCAATCTCTTGGGCTCAAGCAATCCTCTCAGCCCAGACTCCCAAGTATGTGGGACTAAAGGTGTGCATCACCACTCCTGGCTATTTTTTTAAATTTTATTTTTAGTACAGACAGAGTTTCTCTATGTTGCCCAGTCTGGTCTCAAACATTGGAGCTCAAGCAGTTTTCCCACAGTCCTGGGATTACATATGTGAGCCATCACACCAAGTCATATTCTCTAATTACCCAGTCTGTGGTACTCTGTTAGAGCAGCAGAAAACAGACTAGGACACAAGTCAAACCAATATATTTAATACTTTTTATATCTAACATATTTAATATTAAACCTGAGATTGCTTTAAATTAAACTCCAAAGCTACAATCACACTAGCTTTTATTAGGTTGTTTTTGCAAAAAAAAATTAATATTTTTAAAAAAATTGTACTTACATGGTCAGAGTGTTTAAAAATAATGGTTACTAATTGTTTGAGACCATAGCAACTTGAAATAGGAAATATATTACCAACAGTTTTTATTATTATTAAAGCAAGGACAAAGTATGTTTAAATCAACTCTTATGTGCTCTCAAAAGGAAAACAAATCACAATAAATAGCATTTTAGGTATAACCTCTGAAAAGCCATTACTTAAAAAAAGTTATTAGGTAAAATAAAGATGTAAGGGAGGGTGATTTTAAAAACACAATTCTAGTATAACAAATGCTTCTAAGAAAAAATATCAAAACTGTGGCAACAAATATATTTAGGTTTGCAGTCAGAATAATTGCAGAAGCAAAGTTAAAACACTCTTTCAATAATTGACATTAGTAAGGAATTACACCATATGGGTATTTTTAAAATAAGGCATCTGAATTTTGTGTATATATTTTTAAATGTGTGTGCATATGTGCACACAAGTATATAATTTTACATCTATATATATGCACACGCATATGCAAAAACACGTAATAGACAAACTCTTAAAAGAAGTGGATGAAATGGAGTAACCAATACTTCAATAGATCATGAAATTTATACATTTATGTCCAATTCTGTCATCTCGCAATTCTTATAACCCAAAGGACATGTATTTAACCAGAGAGTCTGAAATGTAAATGAATTTCTGACAGCTTTAGATCAAAGAGGAAGGGAAGGATAGAAAACTTGTACAGTAAGCCTCCAAGGAAAAAGTCAGAGTTATATAAACAGCTAAAGTAAAATGTTTCCACATCACAAATTGTGCAAAATTTATCCTTGGCAGGAGAATCCAGAGGTAGCCTTAAGCCAAGACAGTAAATTGATTAAGACACTCGCATTGGGCTAACACATTTGACATTATGATGTCCTACTTAGTACCCATGCCAAATCTCCGTGATAAGGTATGGGCTAAAAGACGTTACCATCAAAAGGATTTGGGATTCTTTGATGGACCCAGGAGACAGGATCCTTAAATGCTTATTTGAATTACTTACTGATTGCTAATTCAGAAGAAGCAAGTTAATACTTATATTAGTTAAAAGACCAAATTGGAGATGGTTGACTAAAACTCATTTAAAAAGCAATCAACTTACAAGTCTATTTTGGAAACCCTAGTTATTAAAAGAAGGATGAAAGGAAGTCACAATTCAATCATTTCTTCTTTTTTTTTGAAATGTGGTATGTAATATGTCATATTCATTATAAAAGAATAAAATATATAGTCCCTTTAAATATACTATAATAATATGTAAAAATCCTTAATTTACCTTGTTGAAGAATATTTGAATTATTTCTGAAAAATATAAATTTTAGATATGAAATAAAATAGAAACAATAAAAAGTATAATAATACACATGTCAACATTCTAACAATCCAAATCAATATCTGAAGTTTTTCACACATATTGTAATAAAATTCCTTATTTATGTCTCATTTTCCACAGTCGACATGGTAGAAGTGATATTTCATGTCTGATTGCAACAAAGAATAGTGCCCCTTACTAAAATATGTTAAATTCAACATATAGTTCATAAGAATCTTGTGAGATTAAATAACAGAATGGAACAGAAGGGAACATGGTTTAGTAACAAGTGACTAAGTAAATTATTTGGCTTAAGTTGAAGTAATAACTAATAGAAATATCCAGAGAGAAAAGAGTGGGTCCCATTTCAAGTGCCATGCTAAGCTCCAGGTTTCAAGGTGGCTCCATGGGCACAGGCTGCAGCCCCCATCCATTGTGACAAACACAGAAGTCAATGAAAATGTGTTTGGTCCAAGCATCCATTCACTTCCAAACCAGGAGGATTCTTAGAAGTCCAAGCATAGTATGGAACTCCAGAGGAGCTGAAAGTAGGCAGGGTAGAGTGAGATAGCTTTGAGGATGAGAATCAAAGCCCATGAAAGAAACCACTGCCCAAGATGGGTACAGTATAGCCAGAGCTCCCCTTCTGGGGTGGCAGGAACTGATAGCAGTAGAGGCTGAGAGGCAGCAGACAGAAGATTGCTGGGAAAGGCAGAATGGTGCTTGTATCAGCTGACTTTTCCTGAGGCCTGGTAACTCTCAAAGGAGACCCTGTTGCAGGCATTAGCAATGCCCATCTGATGGGCAATGCCAAGAAGAATGACAGCAATTGACAAATGTTCATAGAAGACAAAATAGAATAAAGGAAATCATCTATACATTTAGTGCTGATGTAAAGACAAGGCAACAATACATAAACCTATAATTTCAATACAATCAAATACAACATATTAAAATAAAAATCAAATGTGATAAAACTGTGAAGAAAACTAAAACACAAACTCATACCCATAGTGAGAAATTTTAATATGATTTCTCTCAGAGAAAAGAAGACAAGAAGTAGTATTTTGGGCAACTTAATAACAATGATTAACAAGTTCAGTCTAATCTATTAATTTTGTCATTCACAAAAATATTGATTGAGTACCTATGGTATACCAGATGGTAATGTGGCACTGTGGAGACACCAAAGAACAAGATAAAGACCCAACTTTATTATGTGAAAGAGTATAATGGCAAATCAACATCCAAAAACACTGAACGAATGCCAAATGTTTGAAAATAATAATACAGAACAATTCACTTCTGAATAACCTAGGTGCAGCGATGCAGCTGAAGACAAGTGCAGAATACGTCAAGCAGGACAAAGTAATTGGGGATGAATAGTCCCGGTAAGCTTGGCAATTTTTCTTTTTTCTTTTTTTATACTTCAGTTTTTAAAATATTTTAAATTTGGAAAACCAATCCTTTTGAACTTTAATTCATTTGCACTCTTAGTCTATAATTGTTGTTGTCTACAATGCTTCTTTCTTCCTTTTCCTTTGCCTTCCTGTGTCTTTGTTTTGCTGCGGATGTGTGTGTGTGGTTGGGGGAGAGAGAGAGAGAGAAGAGGATTGGAAAGAAAGATAGATCATGGAATCAGAAGTTTAGGGCACTTTTTTGCAAAAAATATTAAGAATGAAATAATATATGTTTCTTGCCATTCAATCTTTATGAATTGTCTCAATTATGATATAGATTAAGAAGTCTGTACATAAAATATGAGCCTAAAATGCTTTATTTATTCAAATAGTATGTAGTTATTTGCCTCTCTTTGTGAGAATAAGAATGATGAACAATATAGAATATTTATAATAGTGTGAACTAAGATAAATTGCCTTGCTAAATGACTAAGACATTTGGGTAAAGATCTAATGAAGATTACATTTCCTATGCTCTGTGACTTACCAGAAGCTATAGAACTGTTTTGTCTTCCTGGTGATCAATATGTCATAAAGATGCTGTTTGTCAATTTCTCTTACTACAGTTTGACTATACGATAAATATTTCTGTATGAGACTTTAATTCTAAGACATATATTAACTTTAAAATGTGTAAACTGTTTATAGTAGATAACAATGCTATTCAGCCAGATATCCAGTTCTCCCCATTCCAGGCATATGTGGCATTTGCTTGGTTTTAACTCCATTACAGTGAGATACTATAACATGTGTCACCCTGGATACAAGCATTTCATTCTGGTAGAATCATGTCCAGCATTCTCCTGCTGCAGCCTCAAAGAAAACCTTCATTGATATAAAAGTGAAGCGGCATCATTCCATGGCAGACAGCTACCGTAGACTGTCCCATGGTAGAGTAACTGTCTTTATACAAGCAATAAATACACTTGTTTTAAACCACTGAGTTCTGAGGTTCTCATGACAGCTTAACTGTCTGTCCTGATTTATGGATATTTTATAGAATTTCATAAAGTTATAAAAATATTTATTGTTGGGAAGAATGTTAAAGAAATATGCATTCTGCTATTCTCTGTAGTTGTAGATGATCTCTCTAGATGACCTATCGAGTGGTTTAAAAATTTCATCCCTTTTGTTTTCTATGTTCTTGCGACATAAACTTTGTTTTAAAACTTCTGAACAGGGAATTAGAAAATTAGAAGTTCAGAGTAGTGGTCACTTTAGCTATTACTGGAATTTAAAATGAAAAGTTACCCTTGGGTGTACATGATCTAAATACAATATTAGAATTTGGTAACTTCTACAAGACATAAATTCAAAAATACAGATACATGTACTTATAGACTCCATTTTCAGTCTAACAATGTACCTTAACATATTGTTCCTCCATTTCTTAACCATATTGTTAAAACTAGATGAATGGACATTTGTAATAGAAATACTAAGCAGAGATTCTTGGAAAAAGGGACCTACTGAAAAGGACGTTTCTTAACAATATTTGTGTCATGCACCCCTTTTGGGGACTTTCGAAGCCTTAAAGACTCTCTTTCAGAATAATGTTTTTTTAAATGCTTACAATTAAATTCAGAGGATTTTAAAGACAATCGATTATATTGAAATGTAATTCCAAAATTTTAAAAACGAATGTCTAATATGATGTGTATCTTTATTAACACACTAAATGAGTACATCTATTTCATGAATAATAATCTTATAATTTGAAAGTAGTAATTTTGGTAAATGATATTTTAAAATATATACTTCAACTGTATGTCATATAAAAATACCTATTTTTCCTATTGTTGACAAAAGAAAAGTGTTGTAAATACTACAGTGGTTTTGTTTAAACATATACCTGAATGAAATGCAATTTTTAAATGGACTTTAGCAAATATAAATATATATTTTTATTTGTTCTACTTATTTATCTACATGTATCAAAGCACTTCAAAACTTAGTGGCTTAAAAATTGTTTTACATTTTATCTCTCATAGTTGTTTAGTTGACTAGACTGAGCAAATCTTCACTTGACATCTCTCATTTAATCAGATGTCAGATGGGGGTGTGGTTTCCTGAAGGCTCTATCAGGGCTAAGTAGTAGTCAATTGATTTGGCTATTATTCAGCTTTACTTCTCCTCTCATGGTGGCCGCATTCCAAGAGGGAGACTTTCAAGAGCAGCTTCAGCGACCTAGGCAAAAGCTGCAAGTCATCTTATAATCTAGCCTCAGGAGACTCAATGTCACTTACGCCACAATCTATTGGTCAAGCTAATCACTAAATCTTAAACAGAATGAGAAAAGGAGAATTAAGCCCTGAGTCTCAATGGAAGAAACGTTAAAGTATTTATGGCCATATTGCACAATTCAAGTTCGCAGACACCTTGAATTCTATTTATGGACTATGAGCTTAAGAACGCCTGATATAAAGAAGTCTATAATAATTTAAGATTATACCTAACAAACTATTTCAAATTTTAAAGTTTTCAAATTGTCAGTGAGAAGGAAAATTTAAAATTATAAATGAGATATATTTATGAATTATATTAAGAATTTTAAATAAGGAATGTGTTAAGGGGAGGTGACTTTTGGAAGCAAAAACATTCTCTATTTTTAATCATACTATTTTGAGGGAGCACTGGACAAACAAGGGAACTTGAAATTAAAGAAGAGAAATATGTGTTTAATGACCATTACCCACAATTGGAAAATAACTATTAGAAAAAAGAGGAATAAAGAGAAAAAAACTTCACTAAACCAGACAAGAAAGGATAAAAAAAAGAATGAAATAATGTAAAGTAAAAATTAAGTTAAACATAATATAAACTGAAGGAATAACTCAGTGTTTGAGTGTGTTATTCTATACTACATTGACTGAAGTTCCTTAATGAAAGACAAAACCGGTCAGCTTGGGGAAAAAATGGTGTAATGCTATGCAGTTTACACAGACATGCACTTGGTATCATTAACAAACAGGGTTGAAAATAAAAATCTGTGTTATATGAAGGGCTAGATAGTCTTAGGGAATTGAGGATGTGGAACAAGTCAAATCTGTGTCTATTGCTGGCAGGATCCAAAATGGTGCAGTTACTTTGGAGAAGAGTTTAATAATTTCTTATGAAGTTAAACATACAACTACTGCACAAACCAGCAATACCACTTCTAGGTATTTGCAAAAATTATATGAAAAATGTGTGTCGATGCAAAGACTTCTACTCAAATGTTCATATCTGTATTATCCATAGCAGTCAAAAAACTGGATATAAACCAATTTAAATTAAAGTGTATATGTAAAAAATTGTTGTTCTATCCATACAAAAAATAATAGCAATAAAAAGGACAGATATTGAGACATGCAACAACATGAGATGAATCTCAAAATTATTATTCTCAGTGAAAGAAGACACACACAAAACTCCACATGCTGCATGATTCCATTCATTTGAAATACTAAAAAAGCAAAACTACAGTGACAGAGAACAGATTATGTGTTACCTGGTAATGGAGGTGGAAAGAGGGGCCTCACTGCAAAGGATGATGAAAAAGATTTATATCATGATGGTGGTTTTAAAATTCAACAGCATAGTAAAATCAAATATATTCCATTGTATCTTTTACAAAACATATAGAGAGAGATCTACACACACAAAGACACACACACACACACATACACACACACTTCTTCCTCTCTCCTTACTCACTTGTCTGACTGAAGAATTAAAAAGGGGGAGAATTAGCATGTGTGTTCAGGGCCCTTCCTCTCTTTTCTCCCTATTGGAAGTGAGCTGCCCAGCAGACAGGGCCCTGTTTTACCTACTGAGAAAGAAAAAATGTTTGTTCCTGTGGTGAAAGATCTGCTCAGGCCCTGCACTGCCTAACCTTGGAGTTCGCGTCGTGGAGCTCATTGTATAAACTACATTCATTCCCTAAAAGCTGACCTCTCATTAATAAAGGGGAGGTTTAAATATGTATTTGCTTTACTTATTCTGATTCTCAAATGAATCAAAATTAGAGAACAGGAAAAGTTTGGAGCAAGGTCTTGGGCTTTGTCAAACTCTCCTCACATTTAACATATACATTTGACATTTAATTTTTTTTTATTCAAATTTTGGAAGCAAAATGTGAAGAAGATCATAGTAGCCTGGTACATACTGTGTGTGCATGCATGTGTGTGTTTATATACTTTAAAAAATTGAAACAAGAAGAAGAAATAAAGAGTTAAGTCACCTGAGGTGCCATTGCCAATTTCCTGGGAAAACAGGTGAAGCAACCACACTGTTGACTATTCTGGGTTTTATGTGCTACCTCCAGGAAAGTACCGTGCTTACCTAACTCTATTAAATATCCCATAACCAAAAGAGAAAATTACAATAGTGGATGAAAGGAATAAGGATTTCAAAGCAAAAAATAGAGTACAATTCAAAGTGGAAATAGAATGAAAATGATCTACAGAACCTGAGTGGTGTCCGAATAGAAATAACAACTTATTGAATTTAAAATTCACTGTTAATGGATATTGAAAATGGAATGGATTGATCTACATTTCTTTCAGAAGCCCATCCAAATGCTCTTTCCTTCATGGCATCTTCTGGGATTTAGCTCTAAATACTTTTAATGCTGCTTCCATGACTCTTTGTACCGATTTTATACCAATTATTGCAAGATGTCTTATATAATGGTAATTTATGTTCATGTCATATAACCTCTATGAGAGTGTAAACTTATAGGGAATATAGTACATGTTTCAGTAAAATAAATCATGACCTCATAAACACTTATTGATAAATGCAAATAATATATAGGTCAGTTTTTTGTCCTGGATATAGGGAGTTATGATTGATTCTTTCTAGCTCCTTGAATGAATATGAAGAAGGACTACAATCAATTTAGGATAAATTGGTGAGTATAATAATGTCCAAAAAACTTATAAAGCTTTTGTAATAAATTAGTCAAGAAGTCAAAAAATGCAATATCTGTTAAATTGGAACAAGCTTATTAATGTAGGTAAAAAATCTTATCATTTGGAAACACTTATTTAATCTGCAAGTGAATGAAGTTGACATAAATGTAAAATATTTCAAAACTATAGGACTGCATATTTTAAAATGTGTGAAAAATGCAAATTATCTTTATTTTTTGATTGGCCCACACTTAAATGTCTAAGTTTTATGTAATTCTTAAGCAAAAAGTACATTTTGAAATATAACAAAATTCTAAAATATATAATAATGTTTTTAGAAACTCTTTAAGCTTTATACATTTTATTTGAATATGTAACTCAGCTACGAAACAAATACTTGGAACCAATGCTGCCATTAAGTGAAGACAAGCCATTGTTAAGTTGAGAAGACAATATATGTCCCACATAGCTGTAGTTACAGAGTTATAAGAAGCAGAACAAAGAAAGGAATTTTAAAAACCTACTATCTGCAATCATATCAGGGGTTGATATATTTTATGATTTATATAAATTTTAATTTTTTATAATGGGCTCTGAGACCTTAACCACATCATGTTGGAATATCGTATTGTTGTTTATATGTTCCCCGAAGAGTATTATCAAACAACTCACTGGCTTTAGTTTGAATTTATTACCAGTACTATTTAGTGCTCTATCATTATATTTCATAATATGCAAGTCTATCTTCCATGATATTATTCTTGAGCATATGGATAAAAAAATCCTAAAGCTTATTTCTGTATGACCTTAACAGGCATATTCAAAGAAAAAAATATTCTTCACAGGACTCCCTAAATTTACCTCATTTAAATATTTGAGTAATTACAAGTCAGAAGAGGAGCTCAAAATAGATTCTCATTTCCATTTGCTGTAATACATGCACTAAGAAAACCAATACTCCATTTCAATTTATTTAGATGTGTGACAAGAACAGAAATAAATATCTATTACATAAAGCTGAATGAAAGATTGACCTATTTACTGGTTGTTATTGCAAAATACCATAGGAAAGTCGATCAAAATAGGAGGCTTCTGATTTCATCAATTAATATCAGCAATACCAAATGGTTTATGAGACATTATATTTAAATATATTTTACACTGGCACCATATTTTTATTGTTTCTTCCTTCTCATAAAATGAAAACAAAAAAATGATAAAAGTGTGATATATTAGGACTTCTGTTTCATCCTGTGACTATTAATAAAATTAAGCATCTTACTAGGCATTCTCTGTTCTACTTTTCCCTGTAACTGATGAGTTACGTAGCTCCTTTCTCGCCATCTTTAATTCCCTTGCCTTTTTGTCTTTTAACGATCTTACTTGGCAATTCTCCAGCTGTGTATAAATCAAAATACTACTCTGCTTTTCTTAAATCTATGCAGCTGACAAGTACAAGGAAGAAAAAAGATATAGCAAAGCTGATAGGTACCAATAAGAACCTATAGTCTATACAATAGTTATTCCATTTTTATTTGCTATAAAGATGTTCCTAACATTTACTACTTTTTTTCAATGCTGCCTCACTTTCTTTTTACCTAATTTATAAAAAGGAGGTTTTCTGCAAAAAACACTCTTAATTTCTATCCTACCACCTAGAAACATATCTATATCCACATTTATTTCCTTTTAACCAAAGCCTCAGAATACGTTTAACAAGCAATCCCCAATCCATGTCAAGGGCTTATTTCTTTTAAATTGACTTTACCTTTAAACCGGTTTGCAGTTCACAGTAAAACTCAGCTGAAGACACAGAGATTTCCCATATACTTCCTGCCCTCCCAGCACACAAAGCCTCCCCCTCTATCAACATTCCCCACTAGAGTGATATATTTATTACAACTGACCAACCTACACTGATACATCATCATCGCTCAAAAACCACAGTTTACATTAAAGTTCACTCTTGCTGTTATACTTTCTATGGATTTGAAAAACTACATAGTGACATGTATCCACCATTATGGTACCATTCAGAATAGTTTCACTGTCCTAAAAGTCCTTTGTATTTTGCCCATAAATCCCTCCCATTTCCTAGTCCCTGGCAACCGCTGATCTTTTTACTGTCTCCAAAGTTTTGCCTTTTCCAGAATATATATATTTGAAATCATATAGTATGTAGCCCTTTCAGGTCAGCTTCTTTCTCTTAATAATATGCACTGACGTTTCTTCTGTGTATTTTCATGACTTGATAGCTCATTTCTTTTTAATGTTAAATAATATTTCATTGTCTTGATGTACCAAAGTTTATTTATCCATTCACTTTCTGAAGGACATTATGATTCCTTCCAAGTTTTGACATTTATGAATACAGCTGCTATAAACATTCATGTGCAGGTTTTTCCACAGAAATAGCTTATAATTACTTTGTATAAATACCAAAGAGTATCATTACTAGATTACAGGATACAACCATGTTTAGTTTCGTAAGAAATAGTCTTCTAAAGTGGCTGTACCATTGTGATTCTCTTCAGTGAGTGAGAATTATGTAATAAAGAAAGAAAATATGATACTCATAATAATTGCCCCAGGTGAAGTGTATTCAAAAAACCAAAATAATTGTGTGAAAATAAGATGGTCAAAGCAAGCAGGTCCTATAAGAACATTTACAAAGTGAAAAGATTTGGTTAAAATGTATATCTCCATTCAATAACTTGTTCTTAACTGAATGACTTTTATCAGTAACTAAAACCAACTACCAAATGGAGTTCTTGTTGTATCGCATCTTCACCAACATTTGATTTTGCCAGTGTTCTGGATTTTGGCCATTCTAATAGGTATGCAATGGTATCTCATTGTGTTATTAATTTGCATTTGCCTAATGGCCTGTGATGTGGAGCATCTTTTTGTATGTTTCTTTGTTATCTGCATATCATCTTGGGTGAAGTATGTGTTCGTAGCTTTAACTCATTTTTTTTAAATGGATTGTTCATTCTTTAATTGTTGTGTTTTAATGGTTCTTTGTATATTTTGGGTAATAGTCTTTTAACAAATATGTTCTTTGCAAATATTTTCTCTCAGTCTGTGGCTTGTCTTCTCATTCTCTGGGCATTTTCATTCTAGAGTAGTTTTAAATTTTAATGAAATCCAGCATATCAATTCTTTCTTTCATGAATTGTGACTTTGATGTCCTATCTAAAACTAAGTGCCAAACCCAAGGTTATGTAGGTTTTCTACTATGTAATTTTCTAAAAGTTGTGTAGTTATGCAATTTACAGTTGGATCTATTATTTATTTTGAATTACTTTTTGTGAAAGATGTAAGGGTTATATCTTTTTTTTTTTTGCATGTGGATGTCCAGTTGTTCCAGCATTATTTGTTGAAAAGACTGTATTTTTTCCATTACATTGTCTTTTCTCCTTTGTCAAAGATCAGTAGCTATATTTATCTAGGTCTATTTCTGGGGTCGCTATATTGTTTATTTGATCTATTTGTCTATTTTTCACTTACTCATGGTTTTATATTTTACTTATTCTGAATCTGATATCCTCCTGTTTGCTCAATGGACATGGTCAATCTCTTTGTTCTTCCATAGATTCACTTTCTCCATATTTAGTCTTTCCTTACTGAATATAAATATCTCAAAGTTTTCCTGTCTTAAAAAAATAGCATCTTTACTTAGGTAAAACAAGTAATTTTTTTCTACAGTCTGTTTCCTCTCATTTGCCATTTACCATTATAGTACAGTTCGAAGGAAAGTTGTAATCAGCTAATCACTTCTGGTTTTCAGTACGTACTTTCATGCCTTTGACCAAAATCCATGTTCGCTCTTGACTACTTACTCCTTCTTCCTAAACTTTTCTCCTCTCTATATTTATTTCCTTTGGGGTCCATCCTAAGCGTCTGGCAGTCCACAATCCCCTTGGCCAAATCATCTGCTTCCACCAGTATTCTAAATGTCAGTGTTCTTCAGAGCCCTGCCATTGGCCATTCTTTATTCTTTCTTCTATTCACTCATATCTTTACCATGTTGCCATTTCAATTAAATTTGAATGATGATTCCAAAACATATATCTACTTGGGAAGGGGTTTATTTCAACCCTGATATTGCCTTCAATGTGGAAGTATATCTTATTTTATTAACACCATGTCCTCTCTCCTCATTCACTTGCTGGACTGATATTTAGAAAGTAACTTAGCATGTGTATTTGAGGACTTTTCTCTTCACTTTCACTATTGGGAATGAGCTGCCCACAGAGGGGCCCAGTCTACCTACTCAGAGAAGACAAAGTTTGTTCCTGTAGAGGAAGACCTGATTTCTTTGCTGAAAGAAATGATGAATGAATTCCTTGGAACTAGCTGACACTTGTTTCTATTTGAAATAGTGGCCTTGAGGTATTCTTGCTGTGTTTTCGGTGTCTCTGAGAAGACTTTCAATTTCTCAGTGAGTAGATATACCTTCCATTGACCTTGTAGAAATGCATACACATATTAGCTTAGTTAGAAACAGAGTGAGATTTGAGTGTTAACATTCTAGAGCTTCTAACACGTTTTACAAATCCTTTCTTTCAAAGCATTGAAATCGTAATAAATGAACTGCCAACATTTCAATCATTTCGGCATTATGTGAGAACTGCACAAGGTGAATTTTTGAGTATAAAAACGGAATTGGGTTGAAGGCTGACAATGGGAATAAACCTTATATGATGTGCAAAATCCTTGCAAAAATGTAATAAATGAGAGTCATCCTCAAGGATTCTTTTAAAAGGGAAAAGAGAGCTTCCATAGGAAATACTGAGGCTCTCTTAAAGCCTTCATGTTTGACTCTACAATGTTAAAGACAAGCACAACAAATTATTTTCTATAAAATGAAATTCGAATGGGGCTGTAGGAAATTTTATTCATCTGTTCTAGCTAGTATATTGATTATATTATTATGGTTTAGTTGTGTGTGTTGCACTGCACCAATTAAAATGTGTATGATCTTCATGAGCATCAGGATTAGGTTCTTATTTATCACTGTGTCCACAATAACTAATAGGTTGTCTGGCACATGAGAAGTTTCATTTAATTTTTGTCAAATGAACAGAAATGTGAATGAGTGTAGACATTCATAAATCTACACTTTAAATCCCTCTTAATTGTAAAAGTATTATATTAAAATCTGCAATAGAGTTTAAATTTCCCTATATCAAAACTGTTAAACATAATTAAAAGAAAGCAAGAACTTAGTAGGGGGAATAGCAAAGTCAGGCAAAGCAGATGGTGGAAGAGGAAAAATTAATGTAAATTCAAATCTTAAACTAAAATTCAGTGAATTATGTAACAAAGAAAGAAAATATGATGCTCATAATAATTGCCCCAGGTGAAGTGTATTCAAAAAACCAAAATAATTGTGTGAAAATAAGATGGTCAAAGCAAGCAGGTCCTATAAGAACATTTGAAAAGATTTGGTTAAAATATAAATCTCCATTCAATAACTTGTTCTTAATTGAACGACTTTTATCAATAAGTAAAACCAACTACCAAATGGAATAAATGCAGCTGAAGACAAAATTGGAGGCTACATGCAATGGTGGAGTAATTTCTATCAGACCAAACTCCCTAACAGATAACCTCTTAAAACTAGATAAAATGTAAAATGTAAAACCAAGTACCTGAAGGCAATTATTGAATGGCCAAAAAAAGCTAGATTGGAAATGTCAGGCAGCATTTGGAAAAAAAAAAAAAAAAGAAGGGACTGTGTACATTTATATTTTTAAATCCTTGCCTGAAAACTGGCATCCATTAGCACTATGTGGGGCAGCCAAATTCTGAAAAAACACAATCACACTCACTGGCTTGAACAAACAGAGCAGAATTTGGGATGAATATAGCAGCTAGGAATTAAGATGGAAATACAAGACAGGACAGATAAGCAGCAAATTTGAGGTATAAATTCTGTATAGAAACTGTGCCAAAATCTCCCACTTAACTCCAATTTCTTCATTTAAATTGGTTATAAATCGCTGGCTTATCCCTGAACTATGTGTGTGGAGAATAAACTCTAAGCAGCCCAGTTAAGGGCTGAAATTTCCTTGCATGACAAGGGAGGTAGAATTTGAATTGAGCCCAGCCAAGGCAAATGACTATGAAAGATAACAATAAAAAAAATATTCTTTGGAGGAAAAGTATCATTCAAGATATTTAACATACAACTCAGACATTACCAAATAAAAGAGTAAATGAAGAAAAATATCAAATATACTCAGGGAAGAGCCACATAAGAAGAACAATTCTGAGATGACCCAGATGTTGTAAATTAAAGGCAAAGCTTTTGAACCATGTTGTATAACTTGGCTCAAGGGTCAATAGAAAAATATGCTTGCAATAATTGGACATGTAGGAATTTTCAAAAAAATGGACACTATAAAAAGAATCATACTGAAATTCTAGAACTGAAGAAAAATTAATGCAGTGTAAGATGAGTAAACAGATATGTAAATTAAAACATAAATATAAAAAATTAAGAAAATGAGAAATCTATGGGTTATCATGCAAATATCTAACATATGCATAATTGGATTCCCATAAAGAATGAATGGGATACAAGTGATACGTTAAGAGAAAAAGGTTGACACTTCTTACAAAACTGAAAAAAATTAATCACATATTAAATAATTTTGTTAGCATAAATACAAAGAAATAACACCTAGGCATATCAAGTACTGCTATAATAAAATGATAAAAATTATCAAAAAACAACCAGAGAACGAAGATATATTACATCTTCAAAGAAATAATTATAAGGTTGGCAAATGCCTTCTCAGCATAAATGATGGAATCCAGAAATAAAAATGAAATTACAACTTTATTCTCAAAGATTATAAATACAGAACTCTAATATGTTAACAATTAAATTTTATGTAAATAGGCTAAATTATTTAAAGACAGAGATTTCAGGCTGGATCAAAACATATGCATATTATAATAACATTAAAAAATCACTCCCTTATACAATTTATATATTTCAAAGAGTCTATAATACAAATCAAAAATCTTGGTTGAAGCCCAGTATCTGTAACATTTAGACTTTCTGATCTGTCAATGATAATTCCTCTTCATGCCTAGAACATGATACTTTTGCTTCTTTTCACCCAATGGATAATATAATACTTTGTTATAACTAGTTTTTTTAAATTGCCCCAGCTATTTGAAATTAAGGGCTATACCTTCTTACCATGTCTGAATTATAGTGTGTTCTTAATATTGGTTATGTTAAGTTTACTTTCTAGCATTTATTTATTCAACCCATACTTATTGAGCATTTGCTGTATGGTAGACACTCTTCTAGATATTGTTGATGCAGCCATTAATGAAACAAAGTTTCTGTTCCCACATAACATACATTTCTAGGAGTAAAATAAAGCAATGAGCAAATGATATAAGAGATATCAGTTGATGATAAGCACCCTAAAGCCAAATAATAGGGAATAATTTTCCTGGTGACTAAATGTTGCCATTTAATTAAAAGAGTTGTGAAAGAAATCTGTTAAGATGACATTTGAAAAATATTTGAATGAAATGAGACAGTGTGTTATGCAGATTTATGAAAGGAGCAGGCTACGTGCAGGAGCAGCATTGAGGACAAGTGTGCTTAGGCTAGACCTGAATGAATGGGAGAGAGATGAGGAAGAAATTAGAATACAGATGGTGAAGAACCCTAGCTTTTACTCTGAAGGAGATAGAAAATTACTAAAGGATTCTGTGTAGAAGTGGTATTTGTTTGTTTATCATCAGTGTTTTTCAACTCTGAACACCCAACAGCCTGACCTGGGGACTTGTGTGAGTTTAGAAACGTGCAATTCATTTAGGACACTATTGGTGTATTCTAGGTGAAAGAAGTCCATGGCATGAAGAACATATTCCTGTGGGTTTTAAGAACTAGCCTGATTTTTGTTGTATTTTGAATGTGTAGCCAAGAAGATTTACTAATGGCTTGAACGTGGCATGTAAGTGAAACAGACAAGTGAAGGGTGACACTGGGTTTTTACCTAATCAACTTGGGAAACAGAATTGTTGTATTAGTGAGATGATTTAATACTTGCAATTACTGAATGTAGGTGTGCCATATCACTCTTGTAAACCTGAGCTTTTTCATATGTAAAAATCAAGAAACCATTACAATATTTCATATTGAAATTATTAGACAAAACTGATCTAATATTGTAATGTATAATATTAATGCACATATATATATTAAACTTTCAAAATAGGGATGTGGGAACTTTGCTGCCGTTTATATCTATAATAATTTATTTCCATGATTTCAGCAGTCATAATATATTAGAATAATTCTGAGATTGAATATATTTTTATTTATGTACACTGACAGCTCATAGTGAGGGTTTTCATTTGCAAGCATAATTAACCTATAGAAAATAGAAAATATGTATATTTTATAGTTTAAACGTTTGAGTATTTATAGTCTCACACATAAACTAATCTCAATGGAATAATTTTGATTTCAAGAGATGTATTGTGAATTTTTACCAGATGTGCCTCTGTACATGCAAAATAGCAGCATCACTAAAATATTAAAGCAATAGTTCAGCCAATTATGCTTTTTCAGTTTTCATATGGGTATTAAGAATCTTGGTTGCACTTTTGCCACTCACTATCTTAGCATTGTACAAGTCACTTAGATGCTCTGTGTATTTAAGTTTCCCCTTTTGGAAAATGAGTATAAAAATTCCAATTAGTTGAATTGTTGAGAGTAGTAGGTACAAGTATAATGTCCATAAAAACAGCTATTGATCTTTTTGTTAATTATCTGGATAATGCTTTTTCATAGGTCTTAAAGGAAACATAATGCTTAGACCAGATAGTACAGCATTTTTGAAAAGGGCCTAATTTTTGACATGTATATTACACCTCTAAATATAAAGTATAAAAAAAATTTTCTAAAAGAAAACATAAGAGAACATCCTATTGCTGTGGAGTGGGCAAAAATTACCTAGACAGAAAAAAAATGGTAACCATAAAGAAAAATGATAAATTAAGCTGTGTTATAATTAAATCTTATTATCAAAACACTGTTGAGATAATCAAAAGGCAATCCACAGATTATTGGGTGCATTTATTAATATATGTATGTATACACATAAACACCCATATATATGCATGTTTGTGTATATATGCTTGCACACTCACACATACATTCATATCCAAAATATATAATGTCTATATATCAATATGCAAACAGAACTATCTAATATAAAATTATGATAAATATCATAGATGCTTCACAGAACAATTTATAGTGAATATAAAGACAGTGATCCATTTGTGTCCTTGACTAAATTTAATTTTAAATTTTCTTTAATTTTTTAGTTACAATTAAAAATTAACTTTAAATTTATGAGCCAGTTAGGACACAAACTTAAAAACAAAGTAACATATTGCCATATACCTAATAGTCTGGCTAATATTTTAAAAAGATAAAATACTAAAATTGGTGAGGATAAAGGTCAATCCTGGTGGGATGGTAGATGTTATACATTGAACAATTGTCAGTGCCCGCTAATACAGAATATTCTGTAACCTGGCAATTTTACTCAAAGGAGCATACCCAGAAGAAGTGCTTGGATATATTGATGGAAATTAATGTATAATTATGCTTATAACAGCGTTACTTGCAATGGACCTAATTTGAAGAATATTCAAGTCCTCATCAATAGAAAAAATACAAAGATAAATTGTGGTTAATTCAAACAATAGAATATCACACAACAATGAGAATGAATAAAGTACAATTGCACACAGTAATATAGATAACTTTAAGAAATATATTACTGAGCAAAAACAACCTATATAAGTAAAGTTAAACTTATATAAGGTTCAAAAATAGTTAACATTAACCTAAGGTGTTAGAAGTCAGCTTAGTGGTTACCTTTTATTGATAGTAGTTGAAAGAAGGGATTAAGGGAGATTTTTAGGGTGTTGAAATTATCTAATACTTGGTTTGTTTGCTGATTATAAATTTCTTCAATTGAGTAAAACTTCATCAAACTCTACGCTCATTTATGCCCTTTTATATATGTATGCTATACTTCAAATGTTCAGTAAAGTAGATTAGCTCGTTCTAGAAGTTTTCAACGTATACAGAGACGTCTGTGAGATGTAGGATTTTCTGCTCTACAAAAATCTAATCACACATCGCTGCTCTTTGAGCAACAGAATTACAGAAAAACTGTTGACATGCATAATTTTCCCAATTATATATAGACTCTTTTCTAACACAATTTTATGGAAACAAATAGTCTTGCTTTCAAAGATATGCAAATGATAACGGTAGTTACAGGAATATAATGAGGAGGATAAGCACCTCCTAGCATATACCTCTCTCTTGGGTTATGCAGGAGCATAGGAAAACATTGACTGAATAAGTTGCATTGCAGCTACATAGTTCCTGATCTGTCAACATAGTAGTTTCCACCGATACATTCAAGTTAAAGTTGAATGAATTACATTGGGGTGACATTCTCTTAACTATGCACATTCTTTAATCCCTTGTCCTGGCTCCATAGTCAGGAACACTCTAAGAGACACACTGAGGGATATGTGCCCTATGATTGAAAAAACGTTTCATGGTGAGTTACTGTTATGTTTGTGTATGCCCTGTTTCTCAGATGGGGGTGCAGTGAGAATCTTAGTTTATATCAAATCTTCTACCAAACTTCTCTGTTTTCCTACATCATCCTCTTCAAGTAGCTGGAATACTGCATGCCCTGGAATCACAAGAGCAGCTAACTCTCTCATTTCAGTATTTCTGGATTATCCCACAGAAAATTTAAAACTTCATTGAAGTTCTAGTAGTAGGGCCAATTTATTTACTATCCTGTCTTGATATTTTTCAAAGACTTTGGGGATGATGACAGACAATGATCATAAATTTTGTTACTCTTTAGGAAGAAATCTTATGAGAAGTGAATAAAACATTTTAAAAGAAATCACAAAATTTTGCCAGTTACCACCATTATTACCTCTATAGTCAACTTTACTTAAAATAGATTATTTAGAAAAATAATTTACATGTTAAGTTTTACACAAAATGTCAAATAATTCTGGATTGAAATAGGTGTTTATGTTTCTTTAATACAGTACTTCTCAGAGCCTTTAACGTATATTGTTAATCTGTCTATTTTGAAAGGCAAATGATATGCTCACAGGATGCAGCCCAAGGTAACAGCACATAGATGTTGTTAGGGAAATAAAGACTAACCTTAAACTCTTTTACTTTCCTCTGATGTCATGGGATATGTTATGCAGTATCTTCTGGAATTACTTCATTTCATTAAACTTTCTAAGAAAAAATTCCCATAGACATTTTTCAGAAGTGTTCCATAGAAATGCCTTTGACATTAGGAAGTGTTAAATGTAAAGGTAGATGCTCATGTTTATTAGCTGATGTTAAAAACATTCTTATATTAATATATTAATAATTAATAGAAGAGTTTGAATAATCAACGTGCCATTATGGCTCACCAAAGACAGTTTTCTTATTGTTGTTGTTTTCTATAACAGATACCAAAAGAGAAGCACATAATATCTGTTTGGAAAAGCCAGATTATACATAAAACACAAAAACATAATAGTAAACCTAGACAGTTAAACATAGATAAACTCCAAATACCCAGAATAACAACAATTGGATGTTTTCATATACATACATCACTTCTTGAACAAATCTGGCAAAAGTTTTCTGTTGGAAAATATGACTGTTGTTAGCAGTGTAAGGTCAGACATAACGAAGTCCACAGATGTTTGTGTCTTCTCATGAGGTCAAACTTTTATTGATGCTTATTCAATCATAAGAGCCACCAGCCTCATGGAGTACAGAGGGAGGAAATTCTCCTTAGTACTTAACTACTCAGTTGGTAATCAGAGCCATGGGAACACAGGCTCAAGCTAGTACCCAAGTCAGTCAATCCTGCAAGCCATAGATAGTAGTATACTTAATCAGTATCTAAATATTATTGATTAAATTTTTCCCATAAAACAAAGCAACATATGACATCAAAAGAAAAAAGGAAAAAAAGAGATGAATGAATCAGTCCAAGGAGAGTGAGGCACACAGGCAGAGTGTCTCGGGCTGATCTAGATGGTTGCAAACATCGTGCAAGGAAGAGTCCTTGATTTGGGCAGAGATTTCTGCAGCAGATGCCAGGTGCTGACGGCAAGTAACAGCAAGACAGTGTCTATTGAGGTGACGATGTCTGGCTGGTGAAGAACTGCTCTTTTTATAGCCCTTGAGTCCTCTGATGAGGATTTTAGTAAAAAGTGATGCCCTTATCCAGTTGAATGTTGTCTCTATTAATTAGGCGAACATCTGGACCCTGTCGGCGTGGTGCCTTTTGAAATACAAGATTAAGTATTTTTCTAAGATAGATTTACTTATGTCAAAGGTGTATACAACATGACTGCTAAGATTTGATCATGCCTACTTACCTCACCTGTCAAAAAGCAAAACCTCACAAATGAAGAAAAGGATAATATTAAATAAACAGATTCTCCCAAGATAAACATAATAGGTCAACTACAGAAATATAGTCCTATTGTATGCTTGTTTTATTTTTGTTCTAGAATTATACAAGGTCCAAATATGAAACATATGGCATACTCAAATTGAGATAATTCGAGAAATGTTTAATAAAGGGGCTATTTAAACAAGTACAAGTGGATGTCCAAGAGCTACAAGATAATGTGGCTACTAAATCCAGAGCTATTCTCACCATTATGCCCAGAGGAATGGGGACAGCATGATTACCAAAATAAAGCAGGAAAGAAGGCTATTTTGAGAGGCAAATGATATGCTCAGGGGATGCAGCCCAAGGTAACAGCACATAGATGTTGGTAGGAGAATAAAGACTAACCTTACTCTTTTACTTTCTTCTGATGTCAGGCAGGAGTTCTTCACTGGAAGAATCCAATGGGAAGCTAGGGGTACAAGACAGCCTGCTAATTTTTTTTTCCACATTTTTACTTTCTTTTGTTTATTTTTTTTCTTTTTTTTTGTTATACTTTTTTTTTTATTATACTTTAAGTTTTAGGGTACATGTGCACATTGTGCAGGTTAGTTACATATGTATACATGTGCCATGCTGGTGCGCTGCACCCACTAACTCCTCATCTAGCATTAGGTATATCTCCCAATGCTATCCCTCACCCCTCCCCCCACCCCACCACAGTCCCCAGAGTGTGATATTCCCCTTCCTGTGTCCATGTGATCTCATTGTTCAATTCCCACCTATGAGTGAGAATATGCGGTGTTTGGTTTTTTGTTCTTGCGATAGTTTACTGAGAATGATGATTTCCAATTTCATCCATGTCCCTACAAAGGACATGAACTCATCATTTTTTATGGCTGCATAGTATTCCATGGTGTATATGTGCCACATTTTCTTAATCCAGTCTATCGTTGTTGGACATTTGGGTTGGTTCCAAGTCTTTGCTATTGTGAATAATGCCACAATAAACATACGTGTGCATGTGTCTTTATAGCAGCATGATTTATAGTCGTTTGGGTATATACCCAGTAATGGGATGTCTGGGTCAAATGGTATTTCTAGTTCTAGATCCCTGAGGAATCGCCACACTGACTTCCACAATGGTTGAACTAGTTTACAGTCCCACCAACAGTGTAAAAGTGTTCCTATTTCTCCACATCCTCTCCAGCACCTGTTGTTTCCTGACTTTTTAATGATTGCCATTCTAACTGGTGTGAGATGGTATCTCATTGTGGTTTTGATTTGCATTTCTCTGATGGCAAGCAATGGGGAAAGGATTCCCTATTTAATAAATGGTGTTGGGAAAACTGGCTAGCCATATGTAGAAAGCTGAAACTGGATCCTTTCCTTACACCTTATACAAAAACCAATTCAAGATGGATTAAAGACTGAAACATTAGACCTAAAACCATAAAAACCCTAGAAGAAAACCTAGGCATTACCATTCAGGACATAGGCATGGGCAAGGACTTCATGTCCAAAACACCAAAAGCAATGGCAACAAAAGACAAAATTGACAAATGGGATCTAATTAAACTAAAGAGCTTCTGCACAGCAAAAGAAACTACCATCAGAGTGAACAGGCAACCTACAAAATGGGAGAAAATTTTCGCAACCTACTCATCTGACAAAGGGCTAATATCCAGAATCTACAATGAACTCGAACAAATTTACAAGAAAAAAACAAACAACCCCATCAAAAAGTGGGCGAAGGACATGAACAGACACTTCTCAAAAGAAGACATTTATGCAGCCAAAAAACACATGAAAAAATGCTCATCATCACTGGCCATCAGACAGCCTGCTAATATTACATGTACATTCTGTGACCTAGAGAGCCAGATGGAGATGAGTAGGACTGGAGGGACCAATGGAAGATAACTTACAATGACAGGTCAGTCTTCGTTTGAAACTCATCACATCCTTGATCAAATGAACCAAGGAAAATGATTTTTAATTCCAACATTCTATAATCTCCTTATATATAGGATGCTATTTTATTTTATTTTCTTCTGTGTGTGTGGGTGTCCATGCACACGCATACGTGTGTGGTTGTGGTTTGCTTTTTCACCCTATTCCCTCAGAGTTTCTCATATCATGTGACCTCAAACATTTAACATAACATATGAACAGTAATGGTTATCTGTTTTCTGATTTTTTTTTTTTTTTTTTGAGACGGAGTCTTGCTCTGTCGCCCAGGCTGGAGTGCAGTGGCAGGATCTCGGCTCACTGCAAGCTCCACCTCCCGGGTTCACGCCATTCTCCTGCCTCAGCCTCCCAAGTAGCTGGGACTACAGGCGCCCGCCACTACGCCCGGCTAATTTTTTGTATTTTTAGTAGAGACGGGGTTTCACCGTTTTAGCCGGGATGGTCTCGATCTCCTGACCTCGTGATCCGCCCGCCTCGGCCTCCCAAAGTGCTGGGATTACAGGCGTGAGCCACCGCGCCCGGCCTGTTTTCTGATTTTTTAAGTTAACTGGCCTGGATTAAAATAACCAGGTATGAAGCTAGAAAAGTAGTTTTCAGAATAGTTTAAACTTCATTGCCAAATTTAATTGGATTAATTTAGGACAGTGAGTTAATGAAGATATATATGCTTAAAAAGCTCTGAATTTTAATAATTTTTTTTATCCCTTTACCTTCAAATTCCTCCATGAGTGTTTTAGGCAAGTTAAGATTTTATAATATATATGTGTTTTGTAAAGCTTTATGTAATAAAATTATTATTTACTTAGATCCAAGAAATGCTGCTGATTACATGTATAAGCATACACGTGGTATACATTCACATTCAGAATGTGAAATTTAATTCTATTTAAGGATAAGTAACATGTTACCTTTCACATTACTGAATTAATTTATCTTGGTATCTAAAGCCTCCCTTTCTACTTCATTGACTGCTCATATTTTATATGACAAAAGGTCTTTCTGACAACTAAGTGTTCTATTAAAATTCTGTCATATCTTCCCCACCTGACACTGCCCAGGCTAACTGATTGCTTACAAAAAACTAGTGACTTAGCACTTCTCTTCCATTTTTACATCTCCCTGAAACAGGAATGATGAACCCACTCTATTTAAGTGGAAACCAAGTACATACAGCTTAACTACTACAGATGAGTTGATGTATTGTTTTGGGTATTACTTTCAATATGTACAGTAATATAGAGCAGACTCAATGAACTGAGATACATGGAACAATGTGTAGATCACTTAAAACTGTCCTGGCTTAGCCAGGACAATTCCTATTTACGTTTTTCTCCAGTTTAATTATTAATAGTGTTACAGTCCCCTCTCACTTTCAGGAATACTGGTTTGAGAAATCAAGTATATAATAACCATATTTATAGAATATTATTTCTTTTAGATGTTGATAGTTACTTCATGGAAAAAAGAGAGTTGATGATTATAAACACTCAAGGAATGTTGAGTTAAAGACATTTGAATAATTTTTTTATTTTCTACAGGTTTTCTGAGACTTTGCTATGATAATGTATGTTGTGATTTTTTTCAAAGATTAATTTAACATGACATGTCAGCCAATGTTATTTCATCAAATAACTTTGTTTCCATGGAGAATATCTGGACTGATACATAAAACTTTGGAAAATAATGTTCTAATGAAAGCTGTGAAAGTCACTGTCTGCTCTCTTCCCAGACATGCCCTTGACCTTTCTGCTTTCTAATCTCTCTGCTATATTTTGGCTGCCGTTTAACTTATCTTCTGTAAGTCCCTATTGCATGTAGCTAGGGTGACCACATAATTTATCATTCAAACATGGAAACTTTTGAAAGTAAAAGAGAGTACAATGAATAATTACGAAGAGACAGTAGGCAAAATGCAGGACTGCCCCAGGTAAATCTTGACACAAGGTCGGTGCATCTACTGAGCATATTTAGAAGTCTAGTATCCTCATAGATGAAGAGGGGGTGAGTGCCTTAAATGAATTAATTTGTGTACTGTAATTGGCTTCCTCCAAATTGATTTATCTCCATTTAATTTGTTTATCTTTGACAGTTTCCCATTAGCTGCTATCAAACTACAACTGCATATATGGAATATGTGTCTCAATTTACAAGATATGCTCATTCATTTAAAAAACTCCTTATCTAGAAAGGCCTGTACAGGTTGCCCAAAGAAAGACACAATTTAACACCTAGTCAGATTAATATTTAAGAAGAGGAACACAAAATTCAAATCAACATCACAGATAAGGATATAAAGTTACTTAAATATATTTTCATTTTGTGTCCACCGCCGACAACATTTATTAACAAATCTAAAACAAAAAAATATGTTAGGCATTTTGAGAGTTCATTATACAAACTAATCCTAGCATGAACTGCACAGTGGATTAAACAAGGATGCAGGGGATTTAAGAGAATAAAAGTTACAGTCACCTTAATGCCGAAAGACCGGCCAAAGTCAATAACAATAAATTCTGGCTTGGGAATGACATTTATTTAACACATGATGCTGTCTTTAGAGGTATTCTAACCTCATGAGGATTTGCTCCAGTTGCTGTGAATTTATCTATTACATACTTTAAACATACTTAAAATATATATTAATACATTTCAGACATAAAATATGAAATAAATAAGTGTATGCATCAACTGCCATATTTTATCTCTCAAAGTTTTAAAACCTTGTTCTGAGTTCTTGAATACAGTATTGCCTAATTGGGAAAATAATAGAAAACTTATTTTCAATTTTCTAAAATGTTAGAAAATCATTGCCGTATACAGATTTAATTCAAAGCCCATTGGATAAGAACTTTTTAAAAACGCGTATTCATCAGGCATGTTAATCAGTTGAATATAACTGACACATGAAAAAATAAGTCAAACCAAGAAGGTTCAAATGGGATATTGAAAACTCAAAAGTACTTCAGGTGCACAAACCTCTTAATAGGACATTAAGGGTGAAAATAGATTACTTTTGAATTGTGGCATTTTTAAATTTTCTCTAACAAGCTCTGACTGAATAAAACACAGTTAATTGTTAATCAAACTTCTAAGCCTTTTTAACTCAAACTGTCAATTTGTTCAAATACTGTATGCCTATTAAAGCAGTATAAAAACTGGAACTGCACTGATTACAGCTTTACAGAATGTCAACTTTTCAGTATTGGTATTCTATAGAAAAGGACTACTGGCCAGAGCTCATGAAAGATTTACTGCATTTTCCCTTCTAAGAATAGGGCTCAATATTTTCCATACTCAATCCATCTAAATATGTTTTAATTTTCTCCATTTCAGTTGTTAAGGAACAGTGCTTTAAATGCTTTTTATTTTATTTTATTTTATTTTATTTTATTTTATTTTATTTTATTTTATTTTATTTTATGAGACAAGGTATCACTCTGTTGCCCAGGCTGGAGTGCAGTGGTGTGATCCCAGCTCACTGCAGCATCAACCTCCCAGGCTCAAGTGATCCTCTCACCACAGCCTCCTGAATAGCTGGGATGGGACGACAAAAGACACTTGCCACCATGCCATTGTTTTTTTGTTTGTTTGGTTTTGTTTTTTTTTGGAGAAAGGAGGTCTCATAATGTTGCCCAGGTTGGTTTTGAACTCCCGGACTCAAACAGTCCTCCCACCTTAGCCTCCCAAAGTGCTGGGAGTGCTGGGTTTACAGGAACCAGCCACCATGACCAGTTTTTCTTTCTATTCTTTTCTTTTCTTTTCTTTTTTCTTTCTTTTCTTTTCTTTTTTCTTTTCTTTCTTTCTTTCTTTCTTTCTTTCTTTCTTTCTTTCTCTTTCTTTCTCTTTCTTTCTTTCTTTCCTTCATTCTCTCTCTTTCTTTCTTTGTCTTCCCTCCCTCCCTCCCACCTCTTATTTCTTTCTCTTTCTTTCTTCTTTCTTTCTTTCTTCTCTTTCTTTCTTTCTCTTTCTTTCTTTCCTTCTTTCTTTCTCTCTCTCTCTCCCTTCCTTCCTTCCCTCCCTCCCTCCTTCCCTCCTTCCCTCCTTCCTTCCTTTTGTTCCTTCCTTTTTTCCTTTTTGACATGGAGGCTAGCCCTGTCGCCAGGCTGGACTGCAGTGGTACCATCTTGTCTCACTGCAACCTCCACCTCCCAGGTTCAAGCGATTCTCCTGCCTCAGCCTCCTGAGTAGCTGGGACTACAGGCATGCGCCACCACACCCAACTGATTTTTGCATTTTTAGTAGAGACAGGGTTTCACCATGTTGGTCAGGATGGTTTCAATCTCTTGACCTTGTGATCTGGGATTACAGGAGTGAGCCAGCATGCCCGGCCTTTTTAAAAAAATACTATGTAATGCCTATTTGTAGATAAAGCTGCTGAAATAAATTCCAAGGTGTAGACATGAACCAATAAAGCAATATAGAGACATAATATGTGGGCAAACATCTATAAATAAGAGATTTAGGTAAATATATATATGATTTATATGATATTTGTGTGTTACATATTCTATCTATTAACATCTATCTGTCTATTTATGTACCTACCTACCAACTATGGATGTGAATGAAGGATTCCACAAATTCTAATTTCGCTGAAGGGGTAGAGAGAGAAAGAAGGAGAGGAAGAGAGACAGGGAGAGAGAAGAGCACAGTTTTTTTTTTTAGATGCTAACACCTCTAGACAACCTTCAGAGTTCTGAATCTGTAACTTCATCAGTTACAAGAGATTTGGACTCAAATAATTGTAGAGAAAAAACAGGGTCATATTTATATTAACTTAATACTATTGCCGGTGAGTTAAAAAAATAATTTTTTTTCTTTTCACACATGATTAAGAGTGTCACCCACCAAAGAGAATAATGTCAAATTAAATATAATTTTGAGAAAAGAATAATTTAAAAAGATGTAATGGCCATGTAAGCTGATGAGTTTATGTATTCTCTAATCATGTGGGTTTTACATTTGCTGGGTTATGTGGAAGGATGGACAGCTGCTCGATGTTTTCTTATCAGTGATTTATAGAATAGCAAAGAAGTCGCTTCATCTAACAAGGCAGAAGAAGAAATCCTTCAATGTGTGTGAGCCTTTGGTTAACCATGAGATGAGAAAACTGCAAACATTTGAAAGTTGTTGAAACGATTTCTGAAATATTTGTTTTGTAATAAGCATAAAAATAAAGACTTAAAGGGGAAAAAAGCAGGAAAAAATTCATGACATATTATTTTGAAGAGATGTATTTTCTTTAAGAGCAACACCTACTTGTTGTTGAAAATTTAAACATTATATGAACACCAAACATTAGATTAAAACCAAATATCTTTACCTAGCTTTCATCCACAGAATTCAGCCACTGGCAATTTTATGCATTCTCAATTTATCATTTGTCTCTTTAATGTCACTTCTACGAGCTGCTTACTATTCCATACAAATAATATCTCATCAATTTATTTAGCCTGTGTTCTATTAGACAATTAACTTATATCCATTGTTTTGCTAATTTTAAAGAAATATGAAGCTTCATTTTCAAAAATATTTATGTTTACCTGTGATTCTTTCTTAAAGATATATTTCTGAATATAATCAAATGTTAATTGCATTTTAAGAATTTTGATGTGTTTTGCTATATTGTCCTACAAAAAGTATAAATGTTTATTCTAACAGTGTTTATATTAAGATGTCCATCTCTTATACTATTACAAACACTAGGTAGCTAACATAACATTTCTCATTAAATAAGCAAAATGAAATCCCGTTGTTTAAATTTGCATCACTGATATGATAATGAATATCTTATCATGTGTGTCTATACCAGTACACATCCATGTAGGGCCATGTGTGTCTACAACAGTACATTTCCATGCAGCGAGTCCTGAGTGAAAGCACACTATATGTATCCTACTTGGGACTTGAAATTTTTGCTTCTATTGCGTGTATGTGTGTATGCACACATAACAATATGTAATATAATATGTTTATTATTTAATTAACTTTATTTTTAGATGATGTTTAGGTATGTAACTGTAAGAATACAATGCAGAATTTTTATTAACACATTCAACTCTTTTTTTTTTTTTTTTTTTTTTTGAGACGGAGTCTCGCTGTGTCTCCCAGGTTGGAGTGCAGTGGCGGGATCTCGGCTCACTGCAAGCTCCGCCTCCCAGGTTCATGCCATTCTCCTGCCTCAGCCTCCCAAGTAGCTGGGACTACAGGCGCCCGCCAACACGCCCGGCTAATTTTTTGTATTTTTAGTAGAAACGGGGTTTCACCGTGTTAGCCAAGATGGTCTCGATCTCCTGACCTCGTGATCCGCCCGTCTCGGCCTCCCAAAGTGCTAGGATTACAGGCGTGAGCCACCGCGCCCGGCCCACATCATTCAACTCTTGATGCAAATTAAAATTCTGTCCTGGAATTTTTGACCTGCCTAGACAAGTCTCTGTGTGTATATGTATGTGTATGTGTATGTGTGTGGGGTCTATATATATATATATTATATATATATATATTATATATATATATATATGTATGTATATGCATATGCAAAAGTTTCTCTATATAAATAATTAGGAACAGGCCAGTCCCTAACATTTGAAGGGCCTGGGGCCGGAGTGAAGATAAACGCCAACATACCATATGTCTTAAATATTTTCAAGTTACAAATCAAGCTAACAAACTACTAAATAAAATATCTTCTTTTCTCCTACCCTGGAAATATTTAATATCACAAAATGTTTCTTAATTGCATTACATAACTCTTGAAAATACCACACTAAATGATAAATACTTCTGGAAGCACAAATTAGATCGCAACAAGAAGCAACAGGATGGTTGCTCATAACTATTGGCATTCTTGCCAGGTAGGCAGGAGGCTTTGACAGTCTAGTTAATTGCCTTCTCTTTGAGTTAATCCCATCTGCTACTCAAAGACTCCCCATACTCAGAAGGAATGCCTGTTTCTCACTGTAGCTAGCAGCACAATCTATAAGCCATGCAGTTTCCTTTTATTTTGAAGCATAAGGTAAGGAATAGGGAGATGTCTTTATCTCAAAGATTCAGTATTAGCCATTAGATCAGACATCTGAGGTTACAGGTTATGTTCCATCCTCATTGGAAACCTCATTTTGTTTTAATTTGCATTTTCCTGATGGATGCAATTGAACATACTTTCTTATATTTATTGGCTATTTATATTCCCTATTCTTGTCCATTGCCTATTCTTCTATTGAATTGTGTTTTTAAATTGCTTTATAGGAATTCTTTATATGTTCTGAATACAAATTATATCTCAGTTTTTCGTGTTGCAAAATTTTTTTTCATCTGTTTATCAAATAAAGATGGGGCGCTAACCCTGTGCTGATAATTATTCTAGGTGCTAGGGTCAGTGCAGCAAATAAAGCAGACAAAATTTCATATTTTTTTTGTTGCAGCACTGATCCAAGCACCTAGCAACATGGATTCAATTGGAGGCCATAATCCTAAGCAAATTAACAAAGGAACAGAAAACCAAATACAGCATGTTCTCACTTATAAGCGGAAGCTAAACCCTGAGCACACATGGACATAAATATGGAACAGTAGACAGTGCAGACTACTAGAAGGAGGAGGGAGAAAAGAGAGAATGGGTTGGAAAACTACCTAATTGGTACCGTGCTCACTCCCTGGGTGACAGGATCTGTACCCAAAGCTTCGTCATAACACAATATTCCCATGTATCAAACCTGTACATGTACCCCCTGTATCTAAAATAAAAGTTGGAATTAAAAACAAAACAAAAACCTTGTCCCTTGGGGCTTAATTCTAATGGACAGAGACATGTAGCATGTTAGATTCTTAAATGTTCTATGAAGAAATATTAAACAGCAGTGAAGGAATATAGAGTTCAGGAGTGGGAGGCTGTGAGGATGTTCAAAGAAGTCCAAAAGGAGAAGAGGACTTTTGAACAAATATTTGAAAAGGCAAAGAAACAAAGCAAAGAAACCTTGAAGGAAGAAATTAGGAGAGTAGACTTCCTGAAGGAGGCAATATAAGTGCAAGGAGTCATCAATACAAAAGCAGTCCTGTTGTGTTCTAGAAATTCCAAGAAATCTAGTTTGGTTGCTGTGGGTTGCCTGAGAAGGGGGAATCTTTTTTCCTATCTTTTTTTCTATCATTTTGAAGTACTGATTGCTTCAGTTATGTCTTAGATACCAAATTACATTGGTTTTATTATGGAGTGTGTTGTGGAAATCTCTTTTTTCTTCTGAATTGATAGTATTTTTTGTCTTGGAACTTCTATACAGTAGTCTCCCCTTATCTGTGGGATATATCTTCCAAGAACCCCAGTGGATGCCTGACACGGCAAACAGTACAAATCCTATAGAAACTATGCACAACATTTTTTTCCTTCTTCACAATTTCGCGGATAGAAGATTTGTTCTTACCATAGATCTTAGCAACCTTAACATATAATTATTTTTTCTTATTAAGTCGAGAACTTGCATTTTTTTTTTTTTTTTTTTTTTTTTTTTTTTGTTACTTAAAGGAACCACTTCATGGCTTCTATTTGGCTTATCCAAATTTCCAGCATCAGTACTCTTGTGCTTTGGAGCCATTACTAACTAAAATAAGGGTTACTTGAACCTAAGCACTGAAGTAACAGAACTTGAGCTGGGAGCCCAGATAAGGGACTGACTGGAAGGGAGAGTCTACAGCGTGGAGATGCTGGACACAGGGCACATTTATTTCCTGGGCAGAACACAGCAGGATGATGGCACAAGATTTCATCATGCTACTCAGAATGGTGTATAATTTAAAACCTATAAATTGTTTATTTCTGGAATTTTCCTTTTAATATTTTCAGGCCATGGTGGACTGCAGGTAACTGAAAGCAAGAAATGTGAAACCACAGATAAGGGGGGACTACTGTATATTTTATTTTTGCCTATTTCTAATATTTTCATGTAATTTCAACCCTACATTTTTCTATTCTTGGCAGTGTATTATACTATTTTGTCAAAATGTTAGAATCTTAGCTTTACAAATATAATAATTCATTAATCAGTGTAATTAACTTTTTTATATTTATCTCATTTGTTTTTCATATAAATAATAAATATAACTTTTAAAAAAGTACATTGAAAATACCATAGTAAATTTTTATACTCAAATACTCTGCCAAATTAACATGAAAAATTTTTGCTTTTTGAATATGGAATTCTAGACCTTGTTAATATTGCAAGCTTTTAGGTCTATAGATGTATAACTTTTTTTACTATTTAATTTATAATATGCAAACTATTTAAAATAAATATGTTTAAATATATGTTATATATTTATAAAATAAATATGTTTTAATATTCTATGCTGTCCTAACACTAAATATCTCCAATTCAAATTTTAAACATCTATCAGAAAAGATAAGAGTTGTTGTCTTCAGATACATTTTTATAGCTGCTTGGCAAAACATGAATATTGAAATAACAATTACTTTATCCTAAGATTCATATTACTGATTAATTATCACAGATTTTGTTCCTTTATATGTATCCTGCTTTACTTAATTTTTTTATGATAACATAATTATAGAATTCCTCATTAATTCTTAAATTTTGAGAAAAAATAATCAGACTGGACAGATTGGTTTGATGTAAATATACAGGCATACCTCGTATATACCGTGGGTTCAGTTCCAGACTTCTGTAATAAAGCAAATATTTCATTAAAGCAATTTACTTAATTTTTTTGTTTCCCAATGTATATAAAAGTTATGGTTACATTATACTGTAGTTTGTTAAGTATGCAGTAGCACTATGTTTTAAAAAACAATATTCATAACTTAATTAAGAAATACTTTATTGCTAAACAATGCTAATGATCATATGAGTCTTCAGAGAGTCATAATCCTTTTTTCTGGTGGAAGTTCTTGCTTCGATGTTGATACCTGCTGACTGATCAGGATGGTGGTTGCTGAAGGTTGGGGTGGCTGTGGCAAACTTCTTAAAATAAAAGAACGATAAAGTTTGGCACATTGGCCTTTTAATGAAAGATTTCTCTAGCATCTGATGCTGTTTGATAATAATTTGCCCAAAGTAGAACTTTCGAATATTCTAAATCCTTTATTGTCATTTCAGCAATGTTCACAACATCTTTACTAGGAGTAGATTCCATCTCAAGACACCACTTTATTTGCTCATGCATAAAAAGGAACTCCTCTTTCATTAAAGTTTTGTCATATGATTACAACAAGTCATTCATATCTTCAGGCTCCACTTGTAATTCTAATCTTTTTGCTATTTCCACCACTTCTACAGTTACCTCCTCCACTGAGGGAAGCCTTGAACTCCTCAAAGTCATCCACTAGAGTTGGAATCAACTTCTTCCAAACTCCTGTTTATTCTGGAATTTTTACTTCATCCCATTAATTTCAAATGTTATTAATTGCACCTAGAATGGTGAATCTTTTCCAGAGGATTTTCAATTTACTTTGCACAGATCCATTAGAGGAATCACTGTCTATGGCAGGTATGTCCTTACAAAATGTATTTCTTAAATAGTAAGACTAGAAAGTCAAAATAACTCCTTGACCCATGAGCTGCAGAATGATTGTTGTGATAGCAGTGATGAAAAACAACATTAATCTTCTTGTATATCTCTATCAGAGCTCTTGGATGACTACATGCATTGTCAAGGGGCAGTAATATTTTGAAAGGAATCTTTTTTTTTTTTTCTGAGCAGTAGTTTTCAACAGTAGGCTTAAAATATTCAGTAAACAATGCTGTAAACAAATGGGCTGTCATCCAGGCTTTGTTTTTCCATTTTGGGTCACAGGTAGAATAGATCTAGCATAATTCCTAAGAGCCCTAGAATTTACAGAATGGTAAATGAGCATTGGCTCTAATTTAAAGTCAACAGCTACATTACCCCCTAACTAGAGGCAGCCTGTCCTTGGAAACTTTGAAGCCAGGCATTGACTTATTGTCCCTAGCTATGAAAGTCCTAAATGGCATCTTCTTCCAATAGAAGGTTATCTCATATGCATTGAAAATCTGTTGTTTACTGTAGCCAGCTTCATCAATTAACTTAGCTAGATGTGGATAACTTGTGGCAACTTCTACATCAGCACTTGCTGCTTCATCTTGTAGTTTTATGTTATGGAGATGGTTTCATTTCTTTGATCTCATGAACCCATCTCTGCTAGCTTTAAATTTTGCTCTGTAGCTTTCTTGCCTATCCTAGCCTTCATAGAATTGAAGAGAGCTAGGGTCTTTCTCTGGATTCAGTTTGGATTTAAGGGAATGTTGGGCTCATTTGATCTTCCGCCTAGACCACTCAAACTTTCTCCATACCAACAGTAAGGTTGCTTCATTTTCTTGCCATTCATGTGGTCACTGGAGGAGCACATTTAATTACCTTCAAGAAATTTTCCTTTGCATTCACAACTTGGCTAACTGTTTGGCACAAGAGGCCTAGCTGTTGATATATCTCAGTTTTCGACATTCCTTCCTCACCAAGCCTAACCATTTCTAGTTTTTGATTTAAAGTGAAAGATATGCAACATTTCACTTGAAACACTTAGAGCCCATTTTAGGGTTATTAACTGGCTTAATTTTAATATCGTTGTATCTCAGGAAATAGAGAAGCCTAAGAAGGGGGGAGAGAAAAGAAAACAACTGGTCAGTCAACACACACATTTATCAGTTAAGTTTGCCATTTTATATAGGTGCAGTTTGTGGTGCCCCAGTGCAATTACAATAGTGTCATGAAAGGTTACTGATCATAGATTTCATAACAGATGTAATAATGATGAAAATGTGTGAAATATTGGGAGAGATTACCAAAATGGGACACAGAGACATGAAGTGAGAACACACTTTGGAAAAATGGTGCCAATAGACTTGTGCAATGCAAGGTGGCCATAAACTTTCAATTTGTGAAAAGTGCAATACATGTGAAGCACAATAAAATGAGGTAGGCCTGTAGTTATTATTTTTTTTATTTATTTTTTATTATACTTTAAGTTTTAGGGTACATGTGCACATTGTGCAGGTTAGTTACATATGTATACATGTGCCATGCTGGTGCGCTGCACCCACTAACTCGTCATCTAGCATTAGGTGTATCTCCCAATGCTACCCCTCCCCCCTCCCCCCACCCCACCACAGTCCCCAGAGTGTGATATTCCCCTTCCTGTGACCATGTGATCTCATTGTTCAATTCCCACCTATGAGTGAGAATATGCGGTGTTTGGTTTTTATTACTTTATATTAGTTTTGTATGTATGTATGTAAATTAAAGATTTTCTTCATTTCATAAAAAAATTCTCTTCAATACTAAATACCCAAAAGTACATTTAAACAAAATATTAAAAAATTATTTATTATAAATATGTCAGAAGTTTTAATAGAACACAGGACTAATACTATTTGATAATAAATAACATATATTTAAACCAACAAGAGCATTTGGGGAAAGGTGGTATAAGCAATGATATTTTAAGCTTGTTTTTTGAAAGATTTCAGACTTACACAGAAGCTGCAAGAATAGTTTGAAGACTGTCTGTATATCCTTCATGTTAATATTGTTAAATAGATTAGGTAATAGAGATAGATAGATAAGAGATATAAAGATATGGAGATATAGAGATACGGAGATATAGAGACAGGAATAAAACTGTGCATAAGGAATATTTATTGCAATAGTTCTCAGTTTGGGGTATAAGATGTGTGTTAGGCCTTTTGTGTTGCTATAAAGAAATACCTGAGGCTCAGTAATTTATTTTTGAAAAAGAGGTTTGATTGGCTGACAAATCTACAGGCTGTTGTATAGGAAACATGGTGCTGGGATCTGCTCCTGACAAGAGTCTCATGAAGTTTATAATCATGGCAGAAGGCAAAGGGGAGTAGTTGTGTCACATGGTGAGAGCGGGAGAAAGAGTGAGAAGGAGGAGTTCCCAGACGCTTAAACAACCGGATCTCAGGGAAATTAACTGATTGAGAACTTGGTGAACTGATCACCAAAGGGTGATCACCAAGGGGATGGTGCTAAACCATTCACGAGGGATCTGTCACTATAAGCCAATCACCTCCCGCCAGGCCCCACCTCCAACACTGAGGATTACATTTCAACATGAGATTTGGAGCGGATAAACATCCAAACCTTACAAACTGCATACCAGAGTCACTTAAGTCAGAATTTACTGAAAACTGCATCTCAATTGGCCCTGCCCTAACCAGGCATTTATATATCTTGTGTAGTCTCTATTTTTATATTCTTGCTTTCTTAACTCTTCCTTTCTGTTTGGACCTAATCATTTTCAAGTTAGACATAATTTCAGAGACCCAATAAATAGAATGATTGTAACACCCAAACCAAATGAATCAGATGTTTTCACAAAGTGTACAGCATTATTATTAATTTCAAGAATATAGGCAATCCAAAGCTCAAAGAAAAAAAATGTGTGGTTTATTGAGAGTGGTTCCCCAGGCTTGTCCTTCTCATATTGGATATGCACTTCAGACCCAGAATAGTAGATGGTGTCTTTAATGAGGCTGGTGGTACTTGCGCACACAGTGAAAATCATTTGAATTTCCAACATCTTCATTTTAATATCTAGAAGTTACATAGCTGGGTAATGAAGAAATACCTTGCACTTAAATAGACTTGGCTTTTTTACTTGGCTCTGAGATGATCTTTAGGTCCTTGGAATGTCCTGTCCTGCTATTTGCTTAGAAATTTGGCCACTGATTAGTCTAACAATGTGATTTATGCTGAGGGCTTTGGACCATGCCGTATCATTTCTGATTTCTGGAGGAAGAGGAGACCAAACATACCAGCCTGACTTACAGGAGAGACTGAAAATAAAAGGACAGCCACACAGGGGTTTATGATTGAATCCCGATTATTCTGAACACTAAAGGCTCCAGCAAGCTTCCCTAGTTGAGGACCCTCCATGCGTACTGTCATATGGTATGGCCAAGAGGAGTTAATACTGTCTATGACTCCATTAAGAGAAGACAACTGGAAGCTCCATGTTTGGAGCTCTTCTGGGTTCTTTCTTTTGTGTCTCTTCCTTTGGTTGAGGGTTTTTTTGTTTGTTTGTTCGTTTGTTTTTTATAAATTTTAACTATGAGTATACCAGCTTTTGGTGAGTTCTGTAAATCTTCCCAGTGAATTATTGAATCTGAGGGTGGTTTTGGGAAACTTCATAGAAGCTATTACAAATAGTTTATCCAAACAGCATCTTAAAATTTTGCTGTTTAGATAACTATTTGTAATAGCTTATATGACATTCACCAAAAAGCTATGGCTCATAGATTCAGGTTTTCTTTGCTACAAGTAATCCCTAGCTGGGTTCAGTCCTATTCAGCACATTCAATAGACAAGGCCTCTTCCCCTCAAAAACAGCATTGTTAATTTACCCAGAGATTAGACTGGGTCACCTGCCTTGTCTTCTTTCTTTGGAAGGGACCCCAAATCAAGGGAATAAATGCATCAGTAAAGGGAATAGTTGCAGGCCAGCAGCCTTAGTACCCACCTACCATTCACAGTGAGCATGTAAATATATCACCTCTGGTCCTAAACTCTTGGCGTCAGTAGCCAAGATGACAACTACTTTTGTTGTACAAAATTAAACAAACAAATATATTTTTAGTCTTCTGTAAAAGACATTCTATAAGACTAGATGAACTATTCACCTTTGACAATGTTTTCTCTTTATATACATTATATAATATCTTCATAGTGCAAGGAAGCAATATTCTTTTTATTCACAAATAACCCCTATGCTCAGTAGCATTACTTCTCACTCAGCAAATTTCCATATTGTAGCTATTATAAATAAGATTTATAAATTAATACTGATATAAAATCATGATGCATTATTTTAATTTCATAAATAAAAGTTGTTAGTTACTACTTGCAGTCTTGTTAAGATGAAGGATGATACGATCTTAGCTTTCACAGAGTATTTTTCATAAACAAATGCCCACTGTCTTGGGTTAAATTGCGTTCTAATATTTCAATCATTCGTTTTCTTATGTTTTGTAAGTCAATAATAATTAAGTACAAATTACTCATCTGGTCCTTGAAACATTCAAGATTTATTATCTAAAAGATATTAGAATCATAGGAAGAAAAACAATTTATAACAACAATATGAACCACTCAATCTCAGAATATGAAACCTTCTGAGGCTTTGATAAAGACTTTGTCTAATTGATTGTGATGCATGGTTATTGAATGATGCTATAATCTGTGTCCTAGCAAAATTCATATGTTGAAATCCTAATCACCATTGTGATGATATTAGGAGGTGGGGCCTTTAGAAGGTATTTAGGTCATCAGGGTAGAGCCATCATAAATGGAATTAGGACCATTCCAAAAAAAAACACCAGAGAGTTTGCTATTTTTTCTCTCTGCTCTCTGACATATGAGGATACAGGAAAAAGTTAACAGTCTGCAATCTGAAAGAGGGCCTTCACTAGAACCCATCCATGCTGAACCCCTGCTCATAAGAACTCTCAAACTGTGAGAAAGAAATTTCTGTTCTTTAAACATTACATAGTTTATGGCACACGCAACCTGAACTGAGTAAAACAGTTGGCATTATAAAATGACTTAAATTTTTATGATCTATGTTTATGGTTGAGGGGACAATCTCTGCCCTGACAGGTTCTAGAGAGAACTGGGAGCAGGTAGGACTCCACACCAAGTCCACTGAAACAAAACCTAAGATTCTGTTTGTTTGTTTGATTTGTTTTTCCCACAACCTGTGAATTTTTAGGTATCCAGAGAGGTCTCAAAAGCTGTACAGGTGAGACAATTTAATCAAGCAATTAAGTAATTTTTCTTAAACAAGCAAATAAGTACAGCAATGAATAATCACTGTTTAACTAAACTTAAGAAGATGAATCAAACTTAAAACTTAGACTATGGAGCAGACACAGCATAAGTTGAAGAAAAAAAAAGACGGAGATCAACACTATACTTATTATATACTCCAGTGCACTCCTGGAAGCACATGTAGAGCACAGGAAAAGAAACAGATAGTCACTCATATACTAAAATCACTCAAGATTTCATTCATCTGACATGATGAAAAAAGAAAAGAGGATATTGTAGGACTGAAGAAAATTTAAATTTGATGGTTTCTATTTGAAGAAAGCAAAAACAATTAATGACAATAATAAATGTTGCTGGTGTTTACTATCTATCAAACATGTTTCTTCATATTGTAATTTATTTAATCCCAACAACATCACCTTCCATTAGATACTAGTAATGTTTATTTTTAAAATGTATAAACTTGCTGGCAGACTTACTCCTAGCTGTTTGGCCCATACTCTTACTTTTTAAAATTACAATAGCTAATTTTAACAAATATTTCAATATAGGTGATATGAAAAATACAGGTGGTTTTCATAGACTAGGTGTACAGACATAGTACATTCATACAAGCAATTGAACATATAATAAAAGTGATATTGTATGTTATGTTGGATGATAATATAATAGAGAATATATTAGTATAGTAGTTAAATATAAATTTTGAAATTTTATTAGAAAAATCCAGTAATAGCTTGGGATTAAATATATAAACTAGTCAAAATCCAAAAATTGGAAGACAAGCAGTTGTGGAATTTAGAAAAGGAAAATATCTCTAATACCTTTTATTGGTATCAAGAAATAAAAAAGGGGAAATATAACATCTTTGTGGAAGGGAATATTTGTTATTAATAGTTATTTAGAAAGAAATACTTTTTTGTTTTATTTTGAATGTAAGGAGTCAGGAGGATATCACTAACGAATTCAAAGGTAGAGTAAAAATTTCCGTTTTTAAGTTGAGAAGAAAAGTAAAGATAACATATAATGCCTACAAATATTTGTTTCTTTTGTTAACATAAACCTTCCATCAAAGTCAGTAGTGGAAACTCCAGAAAAACAGAAGAAAACTGAATACATACATATATAAAAGCTAATCAACTATGTTCATTGTTGTTAGTATTTGGGGAAGTGCGAATTAAAACTTTGATAAGTTTCCATTTTTATCCATGACTGTGGAAAAACTTAAGAGGTCTGAAAATATTAAGTTCTGGCAAAGAATTATTCCTTTTAGAAGTATAAATATTGCTTGTCACTTTTAAAACAATTTTTGGTTTTCTTGTATGTTTGAATAGTTTAATACTGTTACGGATTGAATTGTGTCCTCTAAAATCCTTATGTTGAAATCCTATGCCCAATTACCTCAGAATGTAACCTTATTTGGAGATGTGGTCTTTATAGTGGTAATTAAAATAAAACAAGGTCATTTGGGTAAGACTCTAATTCATATCACAGGGGCTCTTGTAAGAAGGGGAAATTTGGACACAGCCATAATAGAGGGATGATGATGTAAAGAGATAGGGAGAAGATAACTATCTACAAGCCAAGGAGAAAGGCCTGGAGCAGATGCTTTCCTCACAGTCCTCAGAAGGAACCAATCCTATCTCTTCCTTCATATTGGACTTCTAGTTTCCAGAACTGTATGACAACACATTTCTATTATTTAAGCCACGTATTTTGTGGTACTTTGTTACAGTAGCTGAGCAAGTGAATACACATACCCAGCAATTTTTTCCAAGTTACCCAAGATCAGGAGTTGTTACATTGATGCTAATGGGCCAGATTCAGCTCCCACTCATTCATCCATTGTCTATGGCTTTTTCTCACACAATCATAGACTTGAATAGTAGTGACAGAAACCATATGGCCAGCAAAGCTAAAATATTTCCTATCTTGACCTTCACTGAAAAGTTTGACAACAGGAGCATGTGCAATATTTTAGATCCCTGAAAAATGGCAAAAAAAATTGTAACAACCCAAATATTCACTGACAACAGAATGGATAGGTAAATTATGGTATATAGCCAATAGTGTTACTCATACATGATTAACAGCCACTCCTATCTCACCTGGTATGGTTTGGTTGTGTCCCCACCCAAATCTCATCTTGATCTGTAGTTCCTGTAATTCCCATGTATTATGGGAGGATCCATTGGGAGACAACTGAATCATGGGGCAGTTCCCCCATACTGTTCCCAAGGTAGGGATTAAGTCTCATGAGATCTGATATAAGGAGTTTCCCCTTTTCCTGAGCTCTCATTTTCTCTATCATCTGCCACCATGTAAGAGGTGCCTTTTGTCTTCTGCCATGATTTTGAGGCCTCCCCAGCCACATGGAACTGTGAGTGCATTAAATCTCTTTTTCTTTATAAATTACCCAGTCTCAGGTATGTCTTTATCAGCAGCATGGAAACGAACTAACACACCACCCAAATAAATATATTTATATGTATGTGCACATAACTTTACTATACATTTTACTGATATAAAGGATATATATCAATCACAATGGATAATAAAATATATAATCTTTATTATAATTTTCATATAGCCAACTGAGTCTCACAGAATGCTTTCATCAGTTTTTACCGCAGTCTTTCATCAGTATGAAAACTTTGGTTTGAATAAGTTTAGTTCCAACATGAATGTAGGTTGATGTGTTCATTTACACTAACAAGTCAATCAAAAGTGAAACCACAATGCTACGTTAAAACTTCATTTATCAATGACCTGATTGATTTAATTACTGGATTTGACAGTGTTTTTTTAAACAGTGAAAGTGTATTTTCTCAGTTTTGTGTTAGTCATAAAGTAATGGCTACTGACACAATATACTTTTAAGTTTAATCTACATTATCAATATTTTATCTGTCGTTTTTCTTAAGTATGAACAACAGAAAAATAAATCCACCCTTTTCCATGGTGAGATATTCCTACCATGCCTATTTCAACTCAACACGTGGGTGTGAAATTTTCTTAACATCCATGACCCCAGGAATGCCATATTCTCTCACAAGCCTACACTGAGCGTTTTCCAATATCTTAATAATGTTAGTTGAGTTGTTACCAATGTCTGACTGCATCTGTTTCAGGTAAACAAGTGCCCATGTTTATTTCTTCTTGAAGGTCTTTGTTTTTCCTTTGGTTTTGGGTTAGTTAATTGCTCTGATTGATGCAAGAATGCCTGTGGATGTGCAGATTGTCCTGGTTGCTGTTGTTGAGAGGATGGAAGCAATGCTCTTTCTGGCTTATTATGTCCCTAGCAAACAGTTTTTCCTATTAAGTAAAGTTTTCCAATACACTGCCCTATCTCCATCCACTGTGCTTCCAGAGATTATTCCTTTCTTTTTCTGTTAACGAATGATACATTAAATCATCAAGGCTAGTCATTTTAAAGGAAGACAGGACTAAACAATTAGGGCATGGGGCTATCCCTATCATTATATCACCTTTTTCTATAAACAATGATTTTTCAAGTAAGCATAATGCCTTTATTTTAAAAACCTCCTACTTTTTATATATCTTTCTAAAACTTTAGGGTTATAAATTATAAATATATTTTATACTTGGCTCTGTGCACATGTATTTATTGTCTATAATAAGATATTTTATTTTTGTCTATAACAAAAATTACATTAGAACTCTGCTTGGTGCTGAGGGGGCTACACAAACAAAAATCATATAGCCTCTGTTCTCCAGAAAATTCTATTAATTTTGAGATTATTAGATTAATGCATGTACCTTTTAATGAGGTTTCTGAATACAAAGAATACAAATGTTGCACATGTACAATAATTTAGTTTAAATATTCACACTTTTATTTATTACATAATGTTATACAATTACATTTTTGCATCTAATATAGTTTCATCTAATTACTACATTAAATTATCATCAAATTATGCCTGCCTCTATTGTAAAATCTCAAATGCAAACATCTGCACTATTGTTTTAATGCTGTTTCATGCTATGATAAACATGTAAAAATAATATTCTTTCTTTCACATTCACTTCAGACTATTATATATTTCCAGTTGTGAACTGTTTTTTCATTATTGAAACTATAATTAAAGTCACTTATTTTCAAAGAAAGCAGAGGGTTAGAATGATTGTCATGAATATATTTTTAGCTTAATTTTATATTTCGTGATAAATCAATATTTTGAAATAATTTCATATTGTGAAAATTGTGTTATCTGAAGAGCATCTCAAGGAGATCAAGGAGAAAAATTAGTCCTCCAATCTGTACAGTGTTGGTAACTGACAGCTGCAAATGTCATCTTTGAAGCCTCTCCAATCCTTCCACGTCAATACTTTCAAAAATTTTCAGTGATGACAACATATCAAATCATAATGGCTAAAAGACAACTATAGTAATAGAATAATTTAAATTTTTATATATAGTTCTGGACGTTTTACTAAATTTAAACAAATTAAACTTAAAAATTACATAGGCTCCTCAAAAATTCAATTCTTGTTCTAGGTAGTAACATGTAGCACAGAAAAAGATCTAGCTCCAGGTAGAACCAATGAATAATTTATTAAGGTCTCATTTTGCTGTCTAGGGTGAACTATATTTTTGTTGGTTTAGAAATAGTTTACTTGGCCGGGGGCTGTGGCTCACGCCTGTAATCCCAGCACTTTGGGAGGCCGAGGCGGGCGGATCACGAGGTCAGGAGATCGAGACCATCCCGGCTAAAACGGTGAAACCCCGTCTCTACTAAAAATACAAAAAAATTAGCCGGGCGTAGTGGCGGGCGCCTGTAGTCCCAGCTACTTGGGAGGCTGAGGCAGGAGAATGGCGTGAACCCGGGAGGCGGAGCTTGCAGTGAGCCGAGATCCCGCCACTGCACTCCAGCCTGGGCGACAGAGCGAGACTCCGTCTCAAAAAAAAAAAAAAAAAAAAGAAATAGTTTACTTATTGCTTTCAATTTACAAGTTTTGAATATCTTTACTTAATCTAGGCTTTGCATTCTATGTTTTTATGCTATATTAAGTGGATTTTGTCAGTTTAAAACTCCAGTTGTTTACTGCTCATATATAAAAATAAAATTGATTATATTATATTCATATTGTTTCCTGAAATGTTGATAAATTCACCAATTAGTTTTAATATTTGTTTTGTAGAAATTGTAAAATTATCTATACCGTTATGACATCTTCAAAAAAGGGACAGTTTATTCTTTATCAATAGAATTTTTGTTGATTTTTCTTGCCTCATTGTAATCATTAATATGCACAATACAATGCTTAATAACAGTGGTAAGGGTATACATCTGCCTTTTTCCTGATCTTAGTAAGAAAGCGGTTCATATTTTACCAAGCATGATGATAAATGTAGGTTATTGTAGAAAACTTTTGTAAAATTAGGAAAGTTTTGTTCTATTAAAAGTTTGATGAGTTTTTGTCATGAATAAGTGCTGAATTTTGTCAAATGCTTTCTCTGCAACTCATATAAAAATCATATTGTCTCTCATCTTTATTCTGTAAGTGTGATTAATTACATTGTTAAAGCAAGCCTGAAATCACCAGTAAAATTATCTAAACCTACGGTTTTATTTCTGAATAAGCTTTTTTTTTTTTAAATCAAATTCCTAAATGAATACAGGACTCTTCTGATTTTCTCTTTCATATTGTGCTCTGGTATAGGGTTTATTTAAATTATATTTTTATAGAAATTTCTCTATTTTGTTACATTTTCAAATCAGTGACATAAAATTCTCATAATATTGCCTTGTTATTCATTTATTTGTGTAAGATCTGTAGTGATAATCTTTGTTTCATTTTTAATATTGGTAATTTGTGATCAGTGATTGCCAGAAATGGGAGAGGGGATGAATAGGCAGGGTTGAGAGGATTTTTAGGGCAGTGAAAATACTTTGAATGGTATTATAATGGTGGACATATGTGTTATACATTTGTCTAAACTCATAAAATGTACAACACCAAGACTGAACCCTAAGGTAAACTATGGATTTGGGGTAGTTATGATGTGTCACTGTAGACCGATCAATTGTAACAAATCTGTCACTCTAGTGAGAGATATTGGTAATGGAGGAGGCTATGCATGTGTTGGGACAAAAGATATATTGGAAATCTCTCTTCCTCTCAATTTTACTATTAACACTAAAAAAAGACTTCTATGAAAAAATTTTATGAAGGAAAAATGATGTCAATGCAACCACAACAAGGAAAACTAAGAAATAGTCAAAACAATATCTTTGTGTATCACATATTTTGTTTGATTACATTGTTTGAGATAACACACTATTCAACTCTTATTATTCCAATACAAGTAAAAGCAATGTTTACAATAAATTACTGGGTTTTTGTAGGAATTGAAAAATATCTGAAGATTGTCTGAGAAAAAAATCATTGCAAACAGAAAAACACACCATGTGCTTTTGAGGTATGTTTCCTGCTAATTTTCCTGAAATAAATACTTGTCAAATGTCAAACACTCAAGAACAACAGCAATTTTTAAACAAGTCATTATAAAATGGTTGGTTTCTGACAATGCGTTAAAGTATCTTCTAACACCAGGAAATCACTTATCCAGCAACTCTGAAATACTTTGATATAATGATCAGCCTCATGATCCCCAGTGGCTGAAAATTTTCCTCTTTAAATCAGAAAAAAATACATTCTAAGCAGGAAGGAAAGATCAATGCTACAATAAACCACATTCTTTCAGGAGTGTGTAAAGATTCAACCTTGACCAAAGCTAAATCAAGTTTCAGCCAGTTTAAATTATGATCAGAAAGTAAAATGAATTTACTGAAAGAATTTGAAGGGTAAATGTCTCTTGTTGCTGTTAACTTATCGTTTTCACTAAATTTATCATTTACTCCTTTCAGCAGGAAAACTGTTATATGAAATATTCAGAATTTCCTAAAACTAACAGTATACTAATATTCTTTGAATTATTTGTTTCTACATAGTGTAAAATCATATAATCTCAGTACAATTCAGCCCTAAGGCATTATCTCACACACATACTGTGTATAATTTGGTAATGTTCAACCCTAAATTTTGATTTCAAGGTTGTTTTTTAGAAAAAAAACATCAGAAAATTTTGAAGTTTAGAGTCTTACAAGCTAGCAAATATTCTTGCCAGAAGCCTTATTCCTTCTCTCTGATGATTTCCAGCTCTCCTGGAGAATTCATCCTTTCTATTCATGTTTATCTGAAGCAAATATGTTTCTAAATGGTTTCTATCTTCCAATATTTTTATATAAGATCTGAGGGCTTATCTCTTATTGGTTAGAATCCTTTTATGACCTAGTTAGAAAAAAAGGAGTTCAAAAATTAAACAGATATGTACAAATTATGATGATTTAGTGGCATATTTAAACCAAAGCATACTTAAAATAGCTTAATTTTGATTTTTCCCCAATGCTAGAAAACTCTAACAGCATTTTCAAAGAAAAGCTATAATACTTTATCTATTTTGATACTTTTACTTACATAACAATTATAGATTTGCATATGAATTTTTACCTATGGTTATTTCTACAATATTTACAAATGATTAGTATTGACACAGGAATAGATGAATAAATGCCCCCCAAATTACAAAAAAAAAACCTGTTCAACAAAAATATTTATTATACAATAAATATGGCATTTGAAATCAGTGAGAAAGAATGGTTATTTAATAAACAATTTTGGCATAATTGGTTATTTGAAGAAACTGATTTTAAAGCCCCTGTTTCTCCTTCTAGAATGTGTCTTTTTCCCTTTCAACCTCAAGGCTTTTTATGTGCTGTTTATTAGGAATATATATTTCCATATTTATATTTAGTTTATTTTGAAGTGACTAGCTTTCCCTGGTTTTCCCAGTACTTTTGCTTTTTCAGCAGTGAAAGTATCATGTTCTGGGAACACTTTTAACCCCTGGGCAAACTTGGGAATGCCTGGGGATAGCAACTCACCCTGGTTTATTCCTACCTAACTTCATTTATGAGCTCAAGTTCACTTCCTCAAGAATTACTTTCCCAACGAAGCTATTAAACAGACTAAGTCTCTATACAATATTTTCAACCGATATTATAATGTTATGCTTTTCCATTTGGTTGGTAGATCTTCCTCCATCCTTTTATTTTGAGCCTATGTGTGTCTCTGCCCGTGAGATGGGTTTCCTGAATACAGCACACTGACAAAAAAAGGCAGGGGTTGCAATCCTAGTCTCTGATGAAACAGACTTTAAACCAACAAAGATCAAAAGAGACAAAGAAGGCCATTACTTAATGGTAAAGGGATCAATTCAATAAGAAGAGCTAACTATCCTAAATATATATGCACCCAATACAGGAGCACCCAGATTCATAAAGCAAGTCCTGAGTGACCTACAAAGAGACTTAGACTCCCACACATTAATAATGGGAGACATTAACACTCCACTGTCAATGTTAAACAGATGAATGAGACAGAAAGTCAACAAGGATACCCAGGAATTGAACTCAGCTCTGCACCAAGCCGACCTAATAGACATCTACAGAACTCTCCACCCCAAATCAACAGAATATACATTTTTTTCAGCACCACACCACACCTATTCCAAAACTGACCACATACTTGGAAGTAAAGCTCTCCTCAGCAAATGTAAAAGAACAGAAATTATAACAAACTATCTCTCAGACAACAGTGCAATCAAACTAGAACTCAGGATTAAGAATCTCACTCAAAACCGCTCAACTACATGGAAACTGAACAACCTGCTCCTGAATGACTACTGGGTACATAACGAAATGAAGGCAGAAATAAAGATGTTCTTTGAAACCAACGAGAACAAAGACACAACATACCAGAATCTCTGGGACTCATTCAAAGCAGTGTGTAGAGGGAAATTTATAGCACTAAATGCCCACAAGAGAAAGCAGGAAAGATCCAAAATTGACACACTAACATCACCATTAAAAGAACTAGAAAAGCAAGAGCAAACACATTCAAAAGTTAGCAGAAGGCAAGAAATAACTAAAATCAGAGCAGAACTGAAGGAAATAGAGACACAAAAAACCCTTCAAAAAATTAACGAATCCAGGAGCTGGTTTTTTGAAAGGATCAACAAAGTTGATAGACCGTTGGCAAGACTAATAAAGAAAAAAAGAGAGAAGAATCAAATAGATGCAATAAAAAATGATAAAGGGGATATCACCACTGATCCCACAGAAATACAAACTACCATCAGAGAATACTACAAACACCTCTATGCAAATAAACTAGAAAATCTAGAAGAAATGGATAAATTCCTCAACACATACACTCTCCCAAGACTAAACCAGGAAGGAGTTGAATCTCTGAATAGACCAATAACAGGATCTGAAATTGTGGCAATAATCAATAGCTTACCAATCAAAAAGAGCCCAGGACCAGATGGATTCACAGCCGAATTCTACCAGAGCTACGAGGAGGAACTGGTACCATTCCTTCTGAAACTATTCCAATCAATAGAAAAAGAGGGAATCCTCCCTAACTCATTATATGAGGCCAGCAGCATCATCCTGATACCAAAGCCAGGCAGAGACACAACCAAAAAAGAGAATTTTAGACGAATATCCTTGATGAACATTGATGCAAAAATCCTCAATAAAATACTGGCAAACCAAATCCAGCAGCACATCAAAAAGCTTATCCACCATGATCAAGTGGGCTTCATCCCTGGGATGCAAGGCTGGTTCAATATACGCAAATCAATAAATGTAATCCAGCATATAAACAGAGCCAAAGACAAAAACCACATGATTATCTCAATAGATGCAGAAAAGGCCTTTGACAAAATTCAACAACCATTCATGCTAAAAACTCTCAATAAATTAGGTATTGATGGGACGTATTTCAAAATAATAAGAGCTATCTATGACAAACCCACAGCCAATATCATACTGAATGGGCAAAAACTGGAAGCATTCCCTTTGAGAACTGGCACAAGACAGGGATGCCCTCTCTCACCACTCCTATTCAACATAGTGTTGGAAGTTCTGGCCAGGGCAATTAGGCAGGAGAAGGAAATAAAGGGTATTCAATTAGGAAAAGAGGAAGTCAAATTGTCCCTGTTTGCAGACGACATGATTGTATATCTAGAAAACCCCATTGTCTCAGCCCAAAATCTCCTTAAGCTGATAAGCAACTTCAGCAAAGTCTCAGGATACAAAATCAATGTGCAAAAATCACAAGCATTCTTATACACCAACAACAGACAAACAGAGAGCCAAATGATGAGTGAACTCCCATTCACAATTGCTTCAAAGAGAATAAAATACCTAGGAATCCAACTTACAAGGGATGTGAAGGTCCTCTTCAAGGAGAACTACAAACCACTGCTCAAGGAAATAAAAGAGGATACAAACAAATGGAAGAACATTCCATGCTCATGGATAGGAAGAATCAATATCATGAAAATGGCCATACTGCCCAAGGTAATTTAGAGATTCAGTGCCATCCCCATCAAGCTACCAATGACTTTCTTCACAGAATTGGAAAAAACTACTTTAAAGTTCATATGGAACCAAAAAAGAGCCCGCATTGCCAAGTCAATCCTGAGCCAAAAGAACAAAGCTGGAGGCATCACACTACCTGACTTCAGACTATACTACAAGGCTACAGTAACCAAAACAGCATGGTACTGGTACCAAAACAGAGATATAGATCAATGGAACAGAACAGAGCCCTCAGAAATAACGCCGCATATCTACAACTATCTGATCTTTGACAAACCTGACAAAAACAAGGAATGGGGAAAGGATTCCCTATTTAATAAATGGTGCTGGGAAAACTGGCTAGCCATATGTAGAAAGCTGAAACTGGATCCCTTCCTTACACCTTATACAAAAATCAATTCAAGATGGATTAAAGACTTAAACGTTAGACCTAAAACCATAAAAACCTTAGAAGAAAACCGAGGCATTACCATTCAGGACATAGGCATGGGCAAGGACTTCATGTCTAAAACACCAAAAGCAACGGCAACAAAAGCCAAAATTGACAAATGGGATCTAATTAAACTAAAGAGCTTCTGCACAGCAAAAGAAGCTACCATCAGAGTGAACAGGCAACCTACAGAATGGGAGAAAATTTTCGCAACCTACTCATCTGACAGAGGGTTAATATCCAGAATCTACAATGAACTCAAACAAATTTACAAGTAAAAAACAAACAACCCCATCAAAAAGTGGGCGAAGGACATGAACAGACACTTCTCAAAAGAAGACATTTATGCAGCCAAAAAACACATGAAAAAATGCTCACCATCACTGGCCATCAGAGAAATGCAAATCAAAACCACAATGAGATACCATTTCACACCAGTTAGAATGGCAATCATTAAAACGTCAGGAAACAGCAGGTGCTGGAGAGGATGTGGAGAAATAGGAACACTTTTACACTGTTGGTGGGACTGTAAACTAGTTCAACCATTGTGGAAGTCAGTGTGGCGATTCCACAGGGATCTAGAACTAGAAATACCATTTGACCCAGCCATCCCATTACTGAGTATATACCCAAAGGACTATAAGTCATGCTGCTATGAAGACACATGCACACGTATGTTTATTGTGGCATTATTCACAATAGCAAAGACTTGGAACCAACCCAAATGCCCAACAACGATAAACTGGATTAAGAAAATGTGGCACATATACACCATGGAATACTATGCAGCCATAAAAAATGATGAGTTCATGTCCTTTGTAGGGACATGGATGAAATTGGAAATCATCATTCTCAGTAAACTATCGCAAGAACAAAAAACCAAACACCGCATATTCTCACTCATAGGTGGGAATTGAACAATGAGAACACATGGACACAGGAAGGGGAACATCACCGTCTGGGGACTGTTGTGGGGTTGGGGGAGGGGGGAAGGATAGCATTGGGAGATGTACCTAATGCTAGATGACGAGTTAGTTGGTGCAGTGCACCAGCATGGCACATGTATACATATGTAACTAACCTGCACAATGTGCACATGTACCCTAAAACTTAAAGTATAATAATAATAAAAAAAAGAAAAAAAAGAAAAATACTATCATTTTAGAAATGTAAGGATTAACAGTATTGAATTAAAATTCTACCACTTATTAACTAAAAAAAAAAAAGTTATGCTTTTCTTACATATTTCTGTTTTTCCACTGCAGTAAAATGATTTTTTGACCAAAAAGACTGAATCTCATTTGTCATTATTTTATACTCACCATTTAAATAAAATTGGGCAGACAGTAAGTCTTAAATTATAATTTTTATAACGTTTGTTTACAAATGATTGAATTTCATTTCATTTCTCAATTTTAATTATAATACTTTTAATTAATCACATTGATTATTTGGGTAATTATTTTATTGATATCAATCTGTCTTACTAAAGTATATGTTCTGTTAGGACTAGGTTGTATCTATTTCAGTCCACTTTAAATATGTAGTATCTAGACTAGTGCCTGGCATTTTTTATTTATGGAACAAATAAATAAATGTATGAAAAAAATGAGCTGAAAATCCCCTAAGCTGACAAACTAAAAATCCTAAAAGGTCTGTGGGTGCTCCCATCACTCTCATTTTTTATATGTGGCCTGAAAATATGGAATCACTGTGAGAGGATCACAAAATTTAAAGTTAATCAGACCTGGTTTGAAATTCCAGTTGATCTACTTCATATTTAGAGAACCACTCTGATGCTCAAGTTTGCATGTAAACTTTGTAAACAGACCCAGAAATCATGAATAATAGACACTTGCAATGGCTATTGCTCCATAACCACTACTCAAAACTTAGTAATGTTTTTATCCTATTCAAGATTTTGTGCAACAGGAATTTGGGAAGGGTTCAGTGGAATCATGAACCACTGTGGCATCAGCTTAAATCTGAACCTTGTGTCATCAACTTGGCCAAATGTGAATGGAAGGCCATGCACTTGGAAGATGGCCTCTTTATATTGCTTTCGTGCTCACTGGTCTCTTGGTGCTAATCCTTGCTTGGAATTTTCACAGCATGGCAGGTTTAGAGTAGTAGCTTTTCTTAGTTGGAAGTTGGTTTTCAAAAAGGTAGAAAATAAAAGCCTGAGTATCACTTTTTTCTGTATTCTAATGAGCACATCTATCACTGGGCTCATTCAGATTTTTGAGAGAGCAAATAGAGACCTTCCAGGAGGTGTGACAAAGTCAGAGCATACAGAATGGCAGATGTTGTGGAGAAACTCTGGCCATGATGATTTACATAAGCAGCCCATGTAAGTTGCACTCAGTCTTGCCTTGAGATCTTGGATATGATGTCTTATTCCATTACACATCACCTTAAAGTCCATGATCTCAATAACTACGTTAGTATCAAGTGTGGATAAGGTACCTTGAATATGGATTCCATAACACTGATGGTCTGTAAATTAAAGTGAAATGTTGTCTGTCTCTCATCAGTCAAAGTAAAATGGGGAGATACCTGGAGTAAACACTCCTTTTAACAAGGGAGGAAAGAGGAGATGCATAACAGTGATTGGCAGGTAGCGATTTTCACATCCAACTAGTATGGTCACACATTTTCCCTGCATTAGGGAAAAGAAATCGGTATTAATTAGGGTCTAATTTTTCTCCTCAAGGCTTAGACTTCTCACAGCATGTGACCAGGTGACCTTGGCTCTTAGGCCCATCATCAGAACTAGGGACTAACAGCCATCTTCTGCAAAGGGCTAGAAGAGAAATATTTTAGATTTTCAGGCCATGTATTCTCTTTCACAACTACTCAATTCTTCCATTATAACACTGAAACAGGCATAAACAAATGCAATCAAAGCGGGGTGGCTGGGTTTCAATAAAACCTATATAGACTCTGAAACTTGAATTTTATGTAATTGGATATGTCATAACATTTTATTTTACTCTTTTTTTTTTCAACCTTTTCACAATGTGGAATTCATTCTTAGTGTTGCAGCTTTTTCACTCCTGTTGTTCAGCAAGCAGGAGGGAGTGTTACAGCTCTTTTACTCTCACCGCCAGCGAGTGCTGGGTTCTTGTCCCATAACCTAGAATAATAAGCCATGCAGACACCAGAGAGTAAGTGAGGCAGAGTTGGACTTTTTCTTTTTTCTTTTCTTTTTAAATGGAGTCTCGCTCTGTTGCTCAGTCTGTGCACTTTCTTTTTGTATTTCCTGTCTTAATTGATTGCAACTCTTCTTTACATATTTTAGATACAATTCGTTTAAGGTTATACTGGTTGCAAATGTTTTGTCTCATACTATGGATATGACTTGAGGATATATTCCAACTCAAGGAAGAAGGAATTTAAGAAAGGAGAGTCAAAGTTACAATTAAACCTTAGTAATTGTTGCTAATACAGCTTTTGCAACTTAATGCCAATAATCAAAATATTTTGGAATGAAATAGAATAAAATTAAACATAATAAAGAATCAAACCTTTCTTGCCCTCATAACTATTTTATATTTTCATTTTTTGCACGTCTTTTTTATGTATGCAAATGTATGAGATACAAGTGCAATTTTGTTACTTGTATAGTGATCAAGCCAGGGATTTTACAGTATTTATAACCTGAATAGAGTATTATGTAAATATCATATAAGGAAATAAAGATACTAAACAACTCTGATAATTTACTGAAATTTATCTTTTAATGTAGATTTTTTTAAAAATCAAGCGAAATCACTCATGAATATATATGTGATGTATAGTTTTGAAATTTTGTTAAAAACATAAAATAAAATTTTATTTATTTTAATTATGCTTTGGAAGTGGATGGGACATGTAGAGAGGGAAAATACAAAATAAGAAAAAACTTCATAGAAAATGATAGGTCAAATTTTATCTCAAACAGTTTCAGAATGAAACAATAACAATAGAAGGAAAGAAGCAATGTTCAAAGAAATAAGAGCAAGTTATTTTTCAAAATGTGTAAAACACATTCTTAAATTGCGCAAGCACAATGAGAAGAAGAAAAATGTAAATTCACACTTAAAGAAATACATTATCCTAAATGTGTATTACACTAGAGAAAAATAATTCTTATAAACAGCCAGAGAAAAAGTAGAGTGACAATTAAATAGAATGCAAACTTTTCTGAAGCAAGAATAAAGAATACAGCACAGTGTATTATTAGAATGCCGAGAGAAACCACTATTAACCCAGAATTATAAGTGCTTTTAACGTCAGTAAAGGACAAGGATAAGTTAAAATTATTTTGAGGAAACAACTGAGGGACTTCACCACTAATAAATTTTTACTTAAACAACCAAATAAGGGAGTGACTGAGATACAATAGTTAAATAATGAGAGCAATAGTAAATATGTAGGTAAATTTAAACAGGCATTAGATGTACTAAAGATATCTAAACAATGACTTATTTGGGAGATATAACATATGGTTAAATACATTATATGGGAAAAAGAACATTTTAGGTAAGAGAAGTCTGATCAGACTGAAGCAGTTATTTTTCATTGCTTTTGTAGGGTATTCAATTTAATATTAAATGTCATACAAATTTCAAGTCATCACTAAAAAGATAGATATAAAACATAGAGAAGTGAAATGAAAACAAGGATGTATCATAGAATAAAATAACTTGTATATGGCAAAAATAATCTGTATTTTTGCATATTTACAAATAAATAAAATTATCCTAGAAAAATTGATAAGTGAATAAGTAGGCCAAAGAATAAAAGACATCATACAGTTAATTTATGCTGAAAAAATGCAGAAGTTATACATGTATAAGTATAGATATAAATATAGATACATATATTGAAATTTTAAAATATGGATAAATATTTCAAATGGGTTTGGGCTTTTGTTTCTACTTGAGTTATTTGCTTACGTTTCTTTCACAGCAAATATCTATTCATACGGAATTCATATAAGTAATAATTAAAAGGAACACAGAATGGCACAAGCAAAATAGATTAATTAGTCTTACAGCTTTGGAGATCACAGAGTTGTCTTTTCGTTGTCCAAAATTAGAAACTAATCTTAAAGAGAATTAGTGTGTTTTCTACAGTTGCACATACACTTAGTAACAGAATAGAGTAAGAACTGAATGTAAGACATCTTACATCTAGTTCAGTAAATTTTTTCTTTGAGAAAACACAAATTCATCTCAGAAAAGGAATCACACATATAAACCCTACCCCCATACTCCTAAAAGAGTGGGACTAAAAGTAGATTTAGGTTACACTAGTGAACATATGATGGAGAGTATATTCTATATATATCAACATACAGATTTTTTAAAGTATGTTTTAATTGTCAATTCACTAAACTTCTGAAAATTCTGTACTATGTGTACTACCATTACATTCGCCAGTGGAATATCCATCCTATTAGAATATAGTCTCTAAAAGTCTTTAACTATGTCTAAGTGTCAGCATTCAGAAACTAAATAAAACTTTTACCAATATAACTAATTCATTCAATACTGATGATTGCTTCAATCTTGTAGAATACTTAATGCAGGAAAACACATGTAGAAAACATTTTATAATTATATTATACAATTGTGCAATTTTATAATTACATTTCCACACAATTTTTGAGAAAGTTTTTGAAATCCACATACTGTATATAAATGTGATAAAGGCAGCAACATGAGTGCCAATGTCACAGGATCCTTGGGGTGTCATTTCACCAGCCGGAAACCTCTGTGGCCATTGGCATCCTGGCATCCCTGCTTGAGTTTTGATCACACCTACTGGGTTCATTCTGCCCACTAGGACTGGCAGGCTGTGCATGGTTCATGCTACTGGCCCAGATCCCACGTCTGCCAAGGGCGAACCAAGAGCAAAGCAGTGAGGGGTGCATGAGTGAGCAAGCATGGTGGCCGGCCTTGGCATAGAGCCAGGCATGCTGGCTACAGCGGGGCTGGCAGATCCAGGAGCCGGCATGGGCTCTGGCTCCCTGCAAGGCTGTGGGTGGACCAGGCATACCACAAGCAGCTTCCACAGCTGGCACCAGGGAATGCAGTGGTGCCTGGAAGCTTAGAGATGCCAGGAACCACAGAGCCCCAAAGAGGGTGTCACAGTCCTGGATCAGGGAACTCCTAGGTCTGGGCTTCTGAAGGGCCACAGCTCTTCTCCCTTTCTCTTTTCTCTTCCTCTCATCTCCTGCAAGGAGGCAAGTAAGGGCCATATTTCAGCCTTGTTTGTGCTACAGCTCTTTCAGCCCCCCAATTAAGGGGATCCTGAATTCTTGTTCTGCATCCAGAAAGAATGAGGTACACAGACAGCTGGACGGTGATCAAGGTGAAGAGATGCTTTATTGAGCTGCAGGACAGCTCAGAGAGATCGGCAGCGGGTAGCTCCTCTCCGCAGGCAAGTTGTCCGGACGAGTGTGTAGCTCTCAGAAGAGAGAAGACCCACAGTGGGTAGCTCCTCTCCGCAGGCAGGTCGTCCCATCATCTGCCTGAGTCTGGCTGAGTCCGGGTTTTTATGGGGGTTCAGAGGGGAGGAAGGGCATGCTGATTGGGCCATGGGTGGCCATGGGTGGCCCTGGAAAAAGCACAGTAAGTTCTCACTCCCAGCCCCCAGGCTTAAGGCAGTTCCTGGCCTGAAGGTGGGGTTTCACCGTGGACCTGCCCTTTTCCACCAGGGACCGTGTCTGCCTCCTGCTGCCATTACCTGCTGTCCACTGTGCCCATGGCGCTCAGGCTGTTCATGCCAAGAGGCACCTGCAGACACAAGCTAAGCTGCCCTTAGCCCCCTCTTGGCCTCCCTCCTGTGCTCATCAGCACCCAATGTCTAAAGGAGGCCGAGGCAACAGGGGGCTGGCGTGTCGGTGCTGCCCCAAGCACCTCCACATCTGGTTGGGTTGTGAAAGCACCCTGGGCTTGGCCACAACTTTGCTCCAAAATTGGTGTGGGCACTGGGAGTGGGGAGAGGCCAACCAGCAGGACCAGGCACTTTCAAGCCTGTGGGCGTTGGGGGGTTCCCGCCCCCGATAGTGCAAAGATACCTGGGTCTGCAGCCATGGCTGGGTGGCTGCAGCTGTGCCCAGGAGAGCGGGGCTCCCACCACTCCAACTTGGAAGGTGGCGGGGCTTCCTCCTGTTCCCAGCTCCCACCGGCTCCCAGGAGGGCTCAGCCCCAGCCACACCTCCCCTGCTGCAGCCCGCATTTTCGCAGCCGCGCTCCAGACAGTCAGCCACTGCCATCACCAATGTACTGGCTTTGTCTCTAGTTATTAGAGGAAATTTACAGATAAGTCAGGAAAATGGATCATAGGAAATGGGGACAACGAGAGGCTTATTTTGCCTATTTAAAATTATACAGCAAATGTTTAAACTCTTCTGTGACTGAGAGAGTTTGGAGTAGCATGGTATTTTGAAGATTACTAAATAATTGTTTTAATGAAAAAGGCTGAAGACTGAGTTTGAATCCAAACTCTGTTGTTAACTGTATAATATTGGGAAAGATAAAATCTCTGTCTCTCAATTCCCTTATCGCCAAAGAAATGCCATTAATCCCTGCCTCCTAGAGTTTCTGAGCAAACTCCATGAGGGCAGAGTCTCATTGTACTTAACTCTGTGAAGGTTAATTGTGATAGAATATGAAAAACGTTTCCTTCTAAACTCATTACCTCCAGAAATTTACAAGTGTTCTTTTGGTAATACTTTGCATTATTTAATTTGAAAATGTACTATCTTTATCCAGTTTAATGAAAAAAGTTTCTGATTTTATAAAATGTTTAAAGATTTAGGATGAACAAAGCATATAAATATGATTTAATGTCATAATTATTATCAGTATTATATCAATTTTCTGCTAACATTTCTGAAAACATAAATGTCAAAAGCATGATTCATCTTGATAAAGATTTAACTTTCAGTAAGTGAGGTTGTAAAGGCTAAGTATCAATCTTAATGGGAGAGCTAAGGCATTAATTTTTAGCATTTTTTAAACTCACTACAGTAGCCTTATTATTCACAAGTAGAGCAATTAGGGGAAGAAAAACTTTAATAGACTACAAGTAGACTGAGAAAACAATTGGGATCTAATTGAAACAAAAAACATTCTTCTTTATTTTGTTCAAGGGCCCCTACCCATGTCATCATCCTATAACATTTAGAATAATGTGTTTACATTAAACATTATTTCTGGATACCTAAACATGAAGAAAGCAGATGTATTTACACCCAAACTGTATTTCTACTCTTATAATGTCAAAAGATAATTTCATGTCTATTCAATGAATATTTAGTACCTATTAGTAAAATACTATGTTATAATATGAACCCCTCACTTAAGCATAAGCTCCACGAGGTCAAGTACATTCCAAAGCAATAGTTACATCATAATAGCTGTTTAAAAATATTGAGGGAATGGATACATCAATAAATATTGATTGAATAAAAAAGAATTGTGAACCTAAAATAGCCAAATATAAAAATCTCAGCATGCTGAAGCTAGGAAAGTAATTTAATCATCTTACAGTAAGTTCTTTAATAACATGAAAGCTCCTTCTACCAAGTGAAGTACTATTTGAGAAGTCCAGAGAAAGGATTGTGCAAAACAAAGATGTAGAAGCTAGTGAATACCATTAAGACACATAGCTCAAGACTGCAGAGACATGAAAAAAAGCCATTGTAATATAATAAAAGTATCTGAAGTCCAGCATTTTTGTGGGCACAGATATATCACAAATCACTCTACTGCACTGCATATTACTTCATAATTGTAAATATCACTTATTTTTATCTTGTTCTTTATAGAATGAAGCATTAATTTAACTATTTTAAGCAGTGCTTCGGGCTCCTCTTTGGTCTGGGGTTCAAGTGGTGTAGGAGTACAATAAGAAATAGATACTTGGGAAATAAAAAATTATATTCCATACACATGAATGACTTTCATTGTGCTGATAATCTGTTGGCCTAAAAGCAAAAAGATAACTTTATTTATAAAGGCCCTATGTGAGAAGTGCCATTTGAAGAAAAGAAATTTAGTCCACACTAGACATACTCAGAATTTGTTGAAGTATTTGTGCACTTAACACAACTATTGATGGCTCTGAAAGATGGCAGTGAGTAGAAAGACAGAGAGAGCTAGAGTAGGATAATAAAAACAGAAATTTCAAACAAAGATTTATTGCCACCATCAACAATTTTGAGAACAGGCGAATAATCAATTAACATAACCCTGAATTCACATTGCTTTTAAAAGATTTTTCAACAATGTTTTATTCATGTTTAAGTATTATTTTTTATTGATTCATAATATGTGTATTTTCAGGGTACACATGATAATTTGATACACTAATATAAAATGTATGGATCAAGGTAGGGTAATTGGGATAACCATCATGCTAAATATTTATATTCTTTATGCTAGGATATTTTAATTATTCTCTTCCAGCTATTTTGAAATATATAATAGACTGATTCTCCCTGCTGGTCTATCAAACATAGGTTTTACTGCTTCTATCAAACTGTATATTGTAGGCATTAATCAACTTCTCTTCAATCCTCCTTCTTCCACACTTCTCAGCCTCTGCCAGCCACCAATCTACTCTTTATCTTCATGAGATCCACTTATTTTTTTAGCTTCCATATATGAGTGAGAACAAGAAATATCTGTATTTCTGTGCTTAGCTTATTTCACTTAATGTAGTGATCTCCAGGCCATCATGTTGCTGCAAATATCAGAATTGTATTACTTTTTATGGCTGAATAATGTACCATTGTGCATGTATACCACATTTTCTTTATTTGTTCATCGATGAGCACTTAAGTTGAGTCTATATTTTGGCTATTGTGAAGATTGCTGCAATAAATGTGAAAGTGTAGATATCTCTTTGACATATGGATTTCCTTTCTTTCAGATATATACCCAGTAGTGCAATTGCTGTATCATATAATAGTAGTATTTCTTTTAGTTTTTTTAAGGAACCTCCATACTATTTTCCATAATGACTGTACCAACATTTCCACCAACAGTATGTGAGGGTTCCCCTTCCTCTGATCCTTGCCAGCATCTGTTCGATACCTCTCTTTGATAAAATACCTCTCAACTAAGGTGATATAATACCTCATTGTGGTTTTCGTTTGCATTTTTCTGATGATTAGTGATATTGATCATTTTTCCACATGCCTGTTGATCATTTGTATGTCTTCCTTTGAGAAATGTCTATTCAGGTCTTTGCCTATTTTCTAATTGGATTTTTTTTTCTACTGAGTTGCTTGAGCTCTTATGTACTGTGGTTATTAAACCCTTGTCAGAAAGGTAGTTTACAAATATTTGCTCCCATTCTGTGAGTTTTTCTCTCCACTTTGTTGTTTTCTATTCTGTGCAGAAGCTTTTTAGATTGATGTAATGATATTTGTCTAATTTTGTTTTGGTTGCCTGTGCTTTTGAGGTCTTACACATAATATATCTATGCCCAGACCAATATCCTGCAGTGTTTCTCCAATGTTTTCTCCTAGGAGTTTTATTGTTTCAAGTCTTAAATTTAAGTCTTTAATCCATTCGGATTTTATTTTTGTACATAATGAGAGATTTGGATCTATTTTAATTCTTCTGCCTATGGTTCTCCAGGTTCTCAGCATGATTAATTGAAGAGACTGTCCTTTCACTTCAGTGCAGTCTTGACCCCTTTGTCAAAAAGGAGTTGGTTGTAAATATGTGGATTTATATCTGAGTTTGCTATTTTGTTTCAATGGTCTATATGTCTGTTTTTATACTAGTACCGTGCTGATTTGGTTATTATAGATTTGTAATATGTCTTGATGTCAGCTGGTGGGCTGCCTCCAGTTTTGTTCCTTTTGCTCAGGATTGCTTTGGCCATTTAGGGTCTTCTGTGGTTCCATATAAATTTTAGTGTTGTTTCCTCTATTTCTGTGAGGAATGTCATTGATGTTTTGATAGAGATTGCATTGAATCCATATTGTTATTTTAACAATGTTAATTCTTCCAATCCATAAACATGAAATATCTTTCCATGTTTTTTGTCCCCTTTCATTTTTTCATTCTTTTCTTTTCTTTTTTCTTTTTCCTTCCTTCCTTCCGTCCCTCTTTCTTTCTTTCCTTGTTCCTTCTTTCCTTCCTTCCTTCCTTCCTTCCTTCCTTCCTTCCTTCCTTCCTTCCTTCCTTCCTTCGTTTCTTTCATTCTTTTTTTTTTTTTATCTTGCTCTGTTACCCAATCTGGAGTGCAATGCCATGATCTTGGCTTACTGCAACCTCTGCCTCCCGGGTTCAAGTGATTCTCCCACCTCAGCCTCCGGAGTAGCTGAGATTACAGGCATCTGCCATCATGCCTGGCTAATTTTTGTAGAGATGGGGTTTCACCATGTTGGCTAGACTGGTACTGAACTCCTGACCTCAGGTGATCCACCCACCTCTGCCTCCCAAAGTGCTGGGATTACAGGCCTGAGCCACCGCACCTGGCCCTCTTTCATTTATTTCATCATTACTTTATAGTTTTCCTTAAATAGGTCATCCACGACTTTGGCTAAATTGATTCTTCTTTATTTTGTATTCTTTATAGCTATTGTAAATGGGATTCCTCTGTTTCTTTTCCATATTATTTGTTGGTAGTGATTGTAAATACTACTGAGTTTTGTATGTTGAGTTTGTATTCTTCAACATTACTGAATTTATCAGTTCTAGTATTCTTTTGGTGGAGTCTATAGATTTTTCTAAGTACAAGATCATGTTTTCTGTGAACAAGTCTAATTTGACTACTTTATCTATTTGGATGCCCTTTACTTATTTAGATGCCCTTTATTTATTTCTGTTGCCTGTTATGGCCATGACTTCCAGTATTATATTAAATAAAAATGGTGAAAGTGGAGATTCTTGTTGTTTTCCAGATTTTAGAAAAGAAAGGCTTTCTACTTTTCCTAATTCAGTACAATGTTATCTGCTGGTTGGTCACATATGCCTTTCATTATTTTGAAATATGTTTGTTTTATACCCAGTTTGTTGAGGGTTCTTATCATAAAGGGATGTTAAATGCTATTGAATACTTTTTCAGCATCTATTGAACTGATCATAAGATATTTTTCTTGGATCTGTTAATGTAATGTGTCATATTTATGAATTTAAATATGTTAAAACATTCTTGCATCCCTAGAATGAATCCCACTGGATCGTATTAAATAATCTATTTAATGTGATGTTGAATTTAGTTTGCTAGTATTCTGTTGAGAATTTTTGCATCTATGTTCACCAGTGATATTGACCTACAGTTTTTTGTTGTGTCTTTTTCTGGTTTTGGTATCAGAACAATGTTAGCCTCATAGAATGAGCTTGAAAGTTTTACTATTGCTTCAATTTTTGGAGGGTTTGAGTAGAATTGGTATTAGTTCCTCTTTAAATGTTTGGCCGAATTCAGCAGTGAAGTCATCAGGTCCTGGGCTTTTCTTTAAATGGAAGATCTTTTAGTATGGCCTTAGATCTCATTTCTCATTATTGGTTTGGTCACATTTTCTATTTCTTCATGGTTCAATCTTGATAGTTTGCATGTGTGTGGAAATTTATTATCTTCTTCCAGGCTTTCCAGTTTTTTGATGTACTTACTCATAATAGTCTTAATGATTCTTCGTATTTCTCTGCTTTCAGTTGATGTCTCTCCTGTTTAATTTCTGATTTGACTTATTTGGGTCTTCTCTCTTTTTTTAAATCTAGCTAAACTTTTGTGAATTTTGTTTACCTTTTCAAAAACCAACCTTCTTTTGATTATCTGTATTGTTCTTAGTCTCAATTTTATTTATTTATGCTCTGATTTTTATTATTTTTTTCTAAAAATTTGTGGTTTTATTCTTGCTTTTTTAATTCCTCGAGATGGAATGTTAGGTTTTTTACTTGAAGTCTTTTTAGTTTCTGATGTAGGTCTTTATTGCTGTAAACTTTCTTCATAATAATGCTTTTGCTGTATCCTATTGATTATGGTGTGTTGTATTTCCATTTTCATTTGTTTTTAAAATTATTTTAATTTTTTTTCTTAATTTCTTTGTTAATATATTTGTCATTCAGGAGAATGTTGATTAATTCCCAAGTGTTTGTGTAGTTTCTGAGGTTTCTCTTGTTACTGATTTCTATTTTAGTCAAATATTATTTCTTCCTTTTTGAATTTGTTGAGACTTGTTTTGTGACCCAAGATATGATATATTCTAGGGGATGTTTCATGCGCTGATGATAGAATGTTTATTCTGTAGTAGTTGGGTGATGTCTTAGTCTATCTGTGTTACTATAAAGGAATATCTGAGGCTGGATAATTTATAAAGAAAATAAGCTTATCTTCCTCACTGTCTTGCATACTGTATAAAAAGAATGGTGTCAGCATCTACATCTGGTGAGGGCTTCAGGGGACTTCCACTAATGGCAGAAGGCAAAGGAGAACAGACTTCCTATGATGAGAAGGAGCAAGAGAGAGAGGATGAGGGAGGTGCCAGGATCTTTTTAAGGCTTGGTTCTTGTGGGAAGTCATTGAGCAAGAACTCACTCATTACTGTGAGAATGGCACCAAGACATTTATGAGGGATCTGCCCCCATGACCAAAACACTTCCCACTAGGTTGCACCTCCAATATTGTGGATCAAATTTCAACATGAGCTTTGCAGGGGAAAAATATCTGAACTGTATCAAGTGAAATGTTCTGTAATTGTTAGTTTGATTTGGTCTACTGTAAAACTTAACTCCAATATTTCTTTGCTGATTTTCTGTCTGGATAATCTGTCCATTACTGACAGTAGATAGTTGAAGTCCCTTACTATTATCGTATTGCAGTCTATCTCTCCCTTTAGATCTATTAATGTTTGCTTTATGTACTTGAGAGTTTCAGTGTTGGATGCATAGACGCTTGTAATTATAATATCCTCTTGCTGAGTTGACCACATTCTTATTATATAATGATCTTCTTTGTCACTTTTTATAGTCTTTGATTTTTAGTCTATTTTATCTCATATAAGTATAGTTACTCCTGCTCTTCTTTTTTTGTTTCCACTTGTATGGAATATCTTTCCCCACTCCTCCGGTCCAGCCTATTGTGTCTTTATAGGTGAAGCAGGTTTCTTACAAGCAGCCTGTATTTGGGTCTTGTTTCTTCATCTATTCAGAGACTCTGTTCCTTTTATTTAGAGAATTGAGCCTATTTACATTCAGTGTTATTATTGATAAGTAAAGACTTACTATTACCATATTTTGGTAACTCCTGTATTCTTGTATTCTTTTTCTTACTGCCTCCCTTTGACGTTAAATGATTTTTCCTGATAGTATTTTTAATTTGTTGCTTTTTACTTTTAGTGTATCTGCTATAGGTTTCTTCATTGTGGTTAACATGAGTCTTACAAGATTCATCTTATAGATATTACAAATTATTTTAAGGAGATGACAACTTATCTTAGGTCATCAAAAAAGAATAGATACGAAGAAAATATTAAAAATACTGTATGCCTTAACTCCATCCCCCACATTTTGGCTTTTTGTTGTCTCAATTTACACATTTTTATATTGCCTATCTCTTAACATATTGCTGTAGCTATTATTGTTTTTCATAGATTGGTCTTTTAAGCTTCATACTAGTGTTATAAGTAGATTGTACAACACAGCTGCAGTATTAGAGTATGCTGGGGTTTTCTGTGTACTTAATTTTACCAGTAGGTTTTATATTTTCAAACATTTGCTTTTTGTACATTAGTGTTTTGTTCTTTCAGATTGAAGAATTCCGTTAGCTATTTTTGTAAGATGAATCTGATGGTGGTAAATTCTCTCAGCATTTTGTTTTTCTTTTCTTTTTGGTTTGGTAAATACTTTATCTCTCCTTCGTGTTTGAAGGATAGCTTTGCTGGATACAGTATTCTTGAATGGCAGATATTTGTCTTTTTGCTCTTTGAAAATGTCCTCTTATTTTCTCCTGGCTTATGTGGTTTCCTTTAAGAAGTCTGTTAAATGAGTTAGAGCTCTTTTACATGGTATTTGCTTTTTATCTCTTGCTGCTTTTCAAATTTTATCTTTGTCTTTGACCTTTTACTGCTTAATAATTATATGCCTTGGGATAGTCTTATTTGAGTCAAATCTGTTAGGTATTGCTCTGCCCTTCCTGTACCTGAATATTTATATCTTTTTCAAATTTTGGAAATTTTTCTGTCACTTATTCTTTGAATAAGCTTTCTACTCCTTGCTCTTGTTCAACTACTTTTTGAACATCTATAATTCTTTTTTTTTTTTTTTTTTTTGAGACAGAGTCTTGCTCTGTCACCCAGGCTGGAGTGCAGTGGCGCAATCTTGGCTCACTGCAACCTCTGCCTCCCAGGTTCAAGCAATTCTCCTGCCTCAGCCTCCCAAGTAGCTGGGATTACAGGCATGTGCCACCACGCCTGGCTAATTTTTGTATTTTTAGTAGAGACGGTGTTTCACCATGTTGGCCAGGCTGGTCTTGAACTCCTGACCTCAGGTGATCTGCTCACCTCGGCCTCCTGAACACCTGTAATTCTTAGGTTTGATCACTTTGAGGCAACTTTCTATATCTTGTAGATTATTTTTATTACTTTTCATTTTTTCCTATTTTTATCTCCTCTGACTGTGTAATTTCAAATAGTCCATTTTAGAGTGCAATGATTTTTTTTCTTCTACTTGATCTGTTCTGCTTTTAGGAGCCTTTAGTAAATTCTTCAGTTCAGCAAGTGTATATTTCTCAGTTTCATAGTTTCTGTTTGATTTTTTAAGTTATTTCAATGTCTTAGTTAAATTTACCTGATAAATTTATGAATTGCTTTTTTTCTGTTATCTTAAAGATCACTGAGTTTTCTCAGAAGTGCTATTTTTAATTCTTTGTCAGAGAGCTCACATATTGCTATCTCATTAGGGTCAGTTACTGGTTCCTTGCCTTGTCCATTTGGGTCATGGTTCCCTTTTTTTGTGTGTGCAGTCATATGTTTGCATTGAATAATTAGTTATTTATCCCAGTCTTATCTATCTGGCTTGTTTTGTTTTCTATGGGATATATTTGCTTAGAGATTCTTTGTGGTTTTTGATTTTATTTTTTTCTACTAGGTCACTGCCTCCTTTTCATTACTAGATGGTATATTAAGCCCAGGTTGGCCTCAACTTTAGTAAAGGATTAATGGTCTGCTCATCCGAAATGGCAGAGGCCTCAAGGAGGATATCTGGCAGTGTGGGAAGGTGAGCTAAGGGCTTGTGTCCAGAGGACCTGTGGAACATGCCTCTTACAGTGTGATGCTGCTAAAAAGACGCTCTGACTTGGTGTCTTCTCTGGCCAAGTTATAGAACAGAGTTTCCAGAGCTGGGGATGCCAGTTCTGCCTCCCCAACTTGTATCTGGCCGTCCTCGGGAATTTTTGTAACTTCGGCACTACCAGTGCTTCTTGTGGGTTGAGGCAGAGGCAGGTCTCTTGTCAGGGAACCTGAGGTGGTAGCGAAGCTAGTAGTCCTTGACCTCATGTTTTGCCAGTCTGGAAATCGTGAGTAGAAGAAAAATTTTTCCTGTGCTTGGTGCAGGGTATATTTGTGGGAGGGGTGTTGCAGAGGTCCAGTTCTTTTACTCTCTGTTCTAGGTTTATTTTTTATTTTAATTATTTTTATTTCTGTGGCCCTGGAAACTGTCTCTTTCTCATATTTGGGTTCCAGATCACTTCTGGTAATAGTTTTGGTGCTGTATATTTGTTTTTGGTTTTCTGGTGCAAGGAGGGAGAAGTGAAGCCATCTTGCTTCTATGCCACCATTTTGGAACTGGAGTGTGAAGTTGAACGTTTTGATGAATGCCTAGAAAAATGGTTGAGCCAAGGACTCAGCTAAATATTTCAGTTTTGTGCAACCCCACAAAAAAGGTAAAATTATTTTCATTTTGTTTAAAGACAGAAGTGGATGTGCCACTACAAATTTGCTTGTGAACAAAAATGGCATATATTCAATAAAGAGAAAGTCAGAAATAGGAAAATAAACTGAGAAATGTTTTAGCAATTCCTAGCAAGTATGCTTTAGATAAAGTGAAAAATAGAATTTCATGTTTGAATGCTACAATCTGGTAATAGATTTTACCTTTGGCAATCCCTCATCTAAAGTTATCTATCTATCTATCTATCTATCTATCTATCTATCTATCTATCTATACACACACACACATACATACATACATACATACATACATTTATATGTGTATATATTTGTAATATATAAAATATCATATTTGAATCATATGTAAGTTATATATAGCTCCAAAGATGCATGTAAAAGAATGCGCAAGAATGGTCATTGTTGCACTGTGTATAAGAGAAAAAAATCCTCCAAGGAAATGGTTAAATAAACTTGAAGTTTGACAGTAAAGTTTTCCATAAAACATCAATTATGCTCATTTGGTTGACAGTATTCTTCAAGTGTTCTACACCTTTCTGACGCTTTGTGTTTTCCTTCTATCAACAACTGCAAGAAGAATGATGAAGTATCCCAGTATATTTGTGTATTTTTTCTACTTCTCCTTTAAGATATATTGGTTTTGGCTTTATTTATTATAAATCTCTGTTGTTCACTGCCAAAAATTTAGGGAAGTTATATATTTTAATATATTTTCCTCTCTACAAACATTATAAAATTTCTACTTATATCCCTAGTAAAACTTCTTTGGGCTAAAATAATTTTGTCTGATAGTGAAATATTTTTTCAAGCGCGCTTATGCTTACTGTTTACATGATATGTCTATTTCTATTCTTCTAGTTTTGAATGATCTATATCTTTATATTTGAAATCGGTTTTTTAAAGTGTATGTAATCATTGTGGCTTTTTATTCATTTTGAAAATCTCTGCCTTTCAATGGTATAGTTTTTTCTATTTAGATTTAATAAAATTATTGGTATAGTCGATTTCCAAGCTACCATTTTTTAATTTGCAATTCCTTTGTTTCTCTGTTTTCTTTTTTCTTACTTTTTTAGGTGATAATTGAGGATTTTCCTCAAATTTTCATCTCTGCTGTTGCTTTGTTAATTACACTACTTCTTATTATTTAGTGTTTTTCTGGGCATACAATATAAATCTTCAGCTCATCATAGTGTACCATTAAATAATAGCATGTCACTTCATGTCTCAGAAAAATCTTTACAATACTATAGTTTCCTTCCTCTTATCATTTATACAATTGTTTCATACAACTTACTAATAAACCCCACAATATATTATTACAATTTTGTCTTAGGATAATTGTCTTTAAAAGAAACAGAAAATAAGAAAATGTATTTTACTTACTATAAATCTCACCACGTCTTCTCTTATTTCTTTGTTTAGATTTGAATTTCCATTTGGCATAATTTTAGGGCTATTGAACTGTTTTTATTATTTATTGTAAAGTCATTGTCATTGAGTCATTGTTGGTCTACTGTCAATTAATTCTGTCAGCTTCATTTGCAGATACTTTCATTTTATTATTAATTTTTAAGATATATCTTTGCTAGATACAAGTTTCTAGGTTAACATTTCCCCCCCTTTTAGGACTTTAATAATGTCACTCCATAGTTTTCTGGCTTGCATAGTTTCCAATAAGAAGTCTGTTTTTTCTTGTATCTTTGTTTTTTAACCAGTGTTTCTTACCTACCCCTCTCCCTACTGCCCACCATGGGCTGCTTGTTTAATTTTAGTGTTTTTGTTAGTTTGTCTATTTTTATTCTTGTGGGTAGCTGAGGTTCTTGGATCTTTGCTTTGTTATCTTTCCTTAATTTTGGAAACATCTTGACCATTATCTTTTCCAATATTTCTTTTGTTTCATCCATTTTCTTTCCCGCTCCAGGACTCAATTTCATATGTATTAGACAATTATTATTGTATGTTTGTCTCCTAGCACTTGGATTCTCTGCTCTCATTAACTCTTTTTTTTCTCTTTTCTTTTGCTTTTTATATTTCATTTAAGATAATTTATATTATTCAACCTATCTGGAAGTTTGTGACACCTCTACTGTGTCCATTCTGCTGATGTTCAGTCTAGAAATTATGTTTAATATTCTCATTTAAATTTCTATAAATTCCCTTTGATTTTTGTTACATCCCATTTCTTTGCTAAAGTTGTTAATGGGTTTATACATGTTGCCTGCTTTTTCCACTACATTTGTTGAAGTATTTTATAGTACATATTTTAAAGGACTTAACTAATAGTCTTAATATCTGGCCAACTTTTGGTTGTGGCTCTGTTGATTGATATATCCCTGGCAATTAACTGCTTATACTTGATGTTTGTGGGGTCTTATACGTTTTATTTATTTTATGCAAGGCAACATAGAGAAGAACCCACAGACGAGGCTAAATAGTGTTTTCTCAAATAAGTGAGTATACCTCTTCTTTGTTCAGGTTATTGTAATGCATTTTAAAGTCAATTTAAGCAGTAATTGAGCTGTTGTTTGGGGTTTTGTTGTATCTATACCTTTAACTCACCACAGATTTCAAATTTTTTAGCAGAGGGCTGCTTATAGTCGTGATCTTATTGAAACTCTTGGATCCCTAAGGAGTTTTTCTCACTGTTGCTGCTCCATTGAATACTTTCAATAGGCTCTGCATGCTTGTACCACAAAGAAGTTATCCTTTCTTTCTTTTTTCTTGGTCAGTCACTCTCTTAGTGATACACTGCTGCTATTTGTTACACTCTGTTATGCTTCATTTGTGGCCAGGGGTGGATTCTTTGTTTTTATTTCAACTTTCCTCTTAGGCAGATGCTATCTATCTGAACCTCAGCATTGCGGCTTTCTCAAGTTCCAGTACCTCTTTCCTGCCGTAAGGAATTTTGCTGCCTTTTTATCAGTGTTATTTTAATGGGATAAAATTGCCTTTTGCACCCCCAGTATTAACAGATCTCTGCTTCGTATTAGTGTTAGTTTCTGTCACCAGTGGCTTTCCTTTCCCTCTCACAGAGGCAGGCAACTTTGGTTGGGCTCTTTCCTTAGTGGCTATTACCTTTGCCTGCAATAAGGAGTAAAAGGGTCCTCTTGCCCTTGGGAGTTGGCTTATCTTCCCCAGAAGGCAATGGATCTTTGTTTATGCCCTGGGAACAGGAAGATTTCTGGAGTCTCCATGGTGGCTTAAGATTTTTACTTCATATTTGTGTTGGGTGTGAAAAGTGGGTAATAGTCTGTTCCTCTGTCCAAAGCAGGTCTCTCACAGGTCTATCTTTCTATTAAGCACCCAGGTGATAGTCTCAGAAAACAGGTTGTGGATAAGTATGGATTCCCCTTGTGGTTTGAGGATCCCAGAGGTTCTAAGCAATTGTGTAAACCTGCACTTAACCTTTAAAATTTCTCTAAGATTTTTAACTGATTTCCTCTTAGTTTTTCAATCACTGTCTCTTCTTCCGTGTTCTGTCAAAAAAGAAACAGTTTGTGCATTCCATCCCTCTTACAAGGAATTGTCACCATTGGAATTCAGTTCACCTAGTTGCATAATCTCAACCACCTGGCAGACTCAAGTGAAAGTTAGGCTTGAATAGATTGCCCAGCTTGTGTCCAGTGTTATGAAATGAGTGATGTTCTCCTGTGGTTTTTTACAACCTAGGTGGAAATAAAATCTCTCTTTTTCTATTTCAAAGATTACTTTTATCACATACAAAACTTCCTCATATGTAGGGATTTGTATTTGGGATCTCTATTCTGATATGCTTTCCTATTTATCTATTCTTATCATACTATTTTAATTACTTCTGATTTATATTCTGGCTTGATTGCTGATAAGGAGATCTTCCCCATGCCCTCACTGATTATGCTTTAATATTTATTTTTTAAAAATCTAAAATTTGTTCAATTCAGTGAAAAGTAATCTCTTACTGGAGCTTTCATTGGATTCGCCACTACATATCTATTAGAATGGCTAAAATCCAGAGCACCAAAAACACCAAATCCTGGAGAAAATGTGGACTAACAGGAACGCTCCTTCATCATTGGTGGAAGTCAAAACATTATAGCCACTATGGAAGACCATTTGGCAGTTTCTTGCAAAACTAAACACAAACTTCCCATATGATTCAGCAACTGTGTTCCTTTATATTTACCAAATTAGTTGAAAGCTTACTTTTACACACACACACACACATACACACACACCAAGCACATGGATGTTTATAGCAGCTTTTATCACAATTGCCCAAACCTAGAAACAACCTAAATATACTTCACTAGGTGAATGAATAAACTGTGGTGTATCATACAATGGAATATTATTCATTGATAAAGAGAAATGAATTATCTAGCCATAAAGAGACATTAAGGAAAATTTAGTGCATACTGTTAAATGAAATAAGCCAATCTGAATAAGCTGAATACTGTATGATTCCAACTATATGACATTCTGAAAAAGGCAAAACTGTGGAGACAGGAAAAAGATCAGTGGTTTCCAGGGCTCATGGGGAGGAGAGGGGAAGAGAGGGATGAAAAAGTAGAGCACAGGAAATGTCAAGGGTAATAAACTATTCTATATGATGTTGTAGTGGTGGATACATGTTATCCATTTTCTAAAACTCATATAATGTACAGAGTGAGTAATAATGTAAACCATGAAGTTTACAGTAATGTGTCAATATTGGTTTATCAACTGCAACAAATGTACCACATTAATGTCAGATGTTAATAACAGGAAAAACTTTGTTCAGGATGGTGATGAAGGGGAATATGATAACTTTCTGCATTTTTTATGCTCAATTTTTCTTTAAACCTAAAATTTCTCTAAAATATAAAGTCTATTAATTTTTAAAAAGTTTCGCATCGTAATAAATATTATACTCAGATATTCAGGAAAATACATGTGCTTTTTAACTTTCTATATCTGTAGGAAAATACATGTGCTTTTTAACTTTCTATAACTGTTTTTATCTTTTGCATGAATCTCTACTCTTTGATCTAGGCTGTGAAGCAGGTTGATTTTTAATTAATGGTATCTTCATCGTTCTCATTTTAAACATCTTTTTGAGCGTTCCAGTCTATTTCAGGTAAAGTCTTAGCTCTTTTACTTCCCTACCTCCAATCACCCTGCTCCTAACTCAGCAAATGGCATCTGGATTTTTGGGAGAACTTCTATGTAGATTGTATCATTAAGGAGAGGATGAAACAGGACATTATTTTCTGTTTTGGTTGGTTGGTTGTGTTCCCCTACACTCTGTCTTCTCTTCATCTCATTCTATACTGGCTCTGAAGAGCCATATTTTCCAATAGACTGCTGCTTAGAATTCTGGATTTTAAAAATCATCTTTTTGTATGATAGGTGCTTATATGCTAAGCTGAGCAGATAAGACATATTATTCATATGGTTGCCATGATAGTAATTACACATATGTCACATGTAAAATTTATTATTTCATTACTTAAATATGTTATTCTTCCTAATAAACATAGTTGGTTTTAAGTATTTGTTTTCCCAATAGATTTAAGCCTCTTGAGAGCATAACTACTCCTTTATGCATTCATTTAGTAAATTAACATTGACACCTAGGATATATGCTGCAAAAGTAGATTCTTAGAAGATATATAATGAATTAAAGAGAGTATTTTGAGCTAATTGGTGATAATTGTTTTCAATAATGTAGTATCTATTATTTCAAGTGTCCTCTGAAAAAGATATGACAAGTAGCCTTTCTTTCCTTTTAAATCATTAAAACCACTTGTGTCTGCATTCTGTTTACTGCTAAACAGTTTCTGGAATTTATTCTAAAGCTTTTGAATAAGATTTTCCCTGATGGTGGCCTTTTCTTAGGAGATATTTGTATTTTGTATCCTTAAATTTGAGAGAAAACTATTGAGTCAATTCATCATTTTGCAAATTTTCTTTCATATTATACTAATTATTATTTTAAAAATTATAAAAATAGAATCAATTATCAAATTAAATTTGAAAGTTATTTTAGTTAAAAGTGAATTGATTTTTGAGGTATGAGTGGTATTTTTTAAAAATACTTTATTATATTTTACACCTTATAAATTCTGAGCTAATGTGCAATATTAAAAAAAAATTTCTCTTAAAATATTCCACCGGAAAATTAATTTTTTATGAAACATTTACTAAAAAAAGTATTTTAACATTTATTAAAGCAGAGATGCATGTAAAGTACTACCTGCAAATTGTGTAGATAAACAGCAATACTGCTAGGAAATCACAGAATTGTTTCAAAAGAGTTCCTTACTCATTCATTTTAGGCATATTTTTATTAGAAGTTATTTCTTTAATTTCTGATACATGTAGAAAAACAGTCCTACCATGAAGCACTTTCCAAGTCCATTGAAATGTCAAATTCAGTCCCTTTAGTATATGCTCCATGGTAAGAAGTAATGGATGTATTTAATTATGGCTAATGAATGATTCTTTTGATTAACACTTCAAGCATAAAGTTATTATGAATATTTACCTGTTGTATTATTTATGCTAGAAGGAAAGAAAAAATAAAAAGAAAAAATTTTACTCACTATTTATTTTAAGATGGATGCACTTTTCAGTAATTTTATTTAATGCCTGAATTAAACATTAAAACATGAATATTCACATTTCTATCATTTCAGATTAATAAAAATCACACATACACATGAATATATTCTAATAATCTATAATCACATTAGTAAACAGATTTCTACAATTATTTCAAGAATTCACATTTTTAAAGTAAATGACTTGTAAATGATTAATGTTAATAAAGTCTCATGAAGTTACAGAATCAAACCATAGACATAAGAAACTAAGCAGTGAGAATGCTTATAGAGCTCTATAAGGAAAATGGAAGAAAAAAATTTATAAAATATGGAATTCTAAATATTTATTTTGATATTTACTCGATTGTTGTTTATGGAAAATAATAATTAAATATCATAGAAATAAACAGATTTAAGGAAAATATATTTTATTGCTATTGTAAAAGTTAAGAGTATGAATTATACTAGCATGCTTAACCTGCTTATACATTTATTAGATGTTTGAATATAAGAAGGAATTAAATCACTACCCACACACTCATACACACAAAAATGATTGCAGTCATTGTATAAGTGAGCCACAGGGTATTCTACAGCTTCTGGAAAGGTAGCAGCAGGAGTTAGTTTTGAGTGGCATCATATTATTTTCTTTTTGTATTAGTGACTGTTTTATAGGGTATGACATTTAGTTAAACAGATTTGAATTCCAGCTCTACTTCTGGATATCTGTTTGATTTGGGCAAATTATTTAATGCTATAATCCATTTATCCCATGTGTAATATAATAATGATAATGATGCTAGCATATAGTTTTGCTGGGCGGATTAAATGCATCTGTCTCTATTCCTAAAGGTACTTAAAGTACAGCAAACACTATACAGACATTAAAATTATCCTTTTTATCATAATGACCATATGCTAGCTGCTATAGTGGAAACTTCAAATACTTTATCTTATTTCTTACATGTAATGTGACTTTTTTTCCCACAGAAGGCCACAATATTTTTTATTCCAAACACTCTTCAGCAATACGACTTTGCTACCCCTCCAGTAAGAGGTAGAATCTATTTCCTTAACTCTTTGAATTTGGGTAGCCCCTGTAACTTCTTTTACTAATATAATAAAGCAATATTGACACTGTATCTGTTCCAGGCATAGCCATTAAATGGTTTGGCAGTTTCTGTTTTTTGTCCTTTTGTGTACCTGCTGTAGAAGAAGAGCAACTACTCCGAGACAAACACTGTGGGAAATCCAAGCCATGAGGATGAATATATGAAAAAGCAAAGAAGCCAAGGAGCATTGAGCTGAAAGATATTTAAGTGAAGAGACATTTTTTTTTTCAGATTTAACAAATTGTTAAAAATGTAGTATTTTGCTTTAGATATTTTATATGTTTAAAGCAACAAAAAACTGTGTCCTGTGCTATCTGATTCTACCCAGTTAGTGAGTTTGGATAGTGACAACTCAGACCCCAAGTTTAGAGAGCAATCCACACCATTTTATCTGAATCTGTGTAGGTCTTGATTTTCAGACAGTAAGATTTCAGAAAGTGAGGAGATATCATTTCCTGCAAACAATCCTCTTTCAAAAAAAAGAAAGAAGGAAGGAAGAAAGGAAGGAAGGAAGGGAGGGAGGGAGGGGAGGAAAGAAAAGAAAGAGAAAAAGAGAAATCAATTAATCAGTCAATCAATCAATCACTAGAATCTATTCAGTTCCAGGAGAAAAAATAACAAGAGCTCAGATAATAAGAATTATACATGTTAGAGATACAGTTGAAGTCTTTTATGTGTTCCTCTCAGTTTCATTCTCCTTGCCCTCTCTCCTGTGGTTGTCATTGTTCAGAAGCTTTTAGATATAATTTCTGCCCATGTTTTCACATTTTCCTAAATGTGACTGTTTTTATAAACAAAACATAGTATTTTGATGTGGGGTTAAACGTTACATAAGCAGTATTATACTATATGTATCATTCTGTAACAGTTTACTTTTTACTTCAGGTTTACCTTCTCTTGCACTGATACCGTTTTCTTTTTAAACTCCTGTTTCTGAAGAAGCCATTTTGAAAGTGGATTCCCTAGGCACAAGTTTCTCCAGCTGATGGCAAGTGAATCATAAACTGTGTTCAAATAAGCTCTTCCCTAATTCCTGATCTGAAAAATTGTGGACAAAATAAAATAGTTGTTTTAGATCACAACATTTGAGAAAATTTATTGTGCAATAATAGATAGACAAAACAGAATATAGAACCAGGATTTGGATATTGCCACATGAAAATGTGGGAATGCACTGTGGGGAGACGGTGGATCATCCTTTAGCAGACTGTAGGTGAAAGCTTGAAGGACCATGAGAAAATTGTTATTGGAGTCTGGAGATAAAAAGACATATTTATGTATGGCCACTCCATAAGATAACATTATAATTGTGGTAACATGAAGAATAGATATTTAAGAACTTCATGAATCTGGTTAAGAAGACCCCCTGGAAGAACGTTGTTGAAAGTGCCAACCTCTTCTTTTAGAAGTGTTTGAGAAAATATGACGAGAGAAATGAATTAGAGAAGTAACTTTCAACCATTGAACACAGTTTAGATAAAATATAAGGGAATAAATATTTATTATGTTTGAAAATAAATTCTATCTCACTCTCCTGGAGAGCAAATTTTTCAAAACAAAAAAAAAATGGCCTCAACAGAAACATCCAACTGGATCACTAAAACTTGCTTTCTGATTAAAGATCGTTTCGAGTCTGTGGTTACAAAATTCGTTGTTATGATCTCAAAGAAAGATAAGGTCATGCCTGATAGTACTTCCAAGTCTCTTAATCTTAATAGCATAGATCTTCTACCTTAAACAAGAAGGCTTTTAAAACTGTTAAAGGTATTGTTCTCAAACATACTCACAGATAGTCCAAGGTAGGGATGAGCCTATTTGGAACAAAAGTATGATTAAAGTTCTTGTCTGTTAGAGTAGATTATGCATTGATGAATAGGAAACTCAAAACATTTTGGAACACTTTTACAACTAGGAGTAAAGAATGTAGCCATAAAATAAAAAGAAGCCTTTGGACTCACATTTCTACAGCTGAGAAAGCTACTTAACTGTGTATATGGGCCATATCTTGAGGAAATAAAAGGATAATTCAAAGAAGCAACTAGTAGTTTAGAATAGGAAAATCAGGAAACTGCAGTCAGTGGAACTAATCTAGCTTGTCACCTGTTTTTGTATAGCTTATGAGCTAATGAGAGAGGAGGAAGGAAGAAATCATTCAGGCAGGCAGTTAGGGTGGGTCCTCAGCAAAACTCCTTCACACCAAGAACAGCCTGAAAATCAAGCTGCAGGCCCCAGATAAGAAAGAGCCCACGTCCTTGAATGGAAAAGCCTACTCTCTGAACCCAGGTGAACAAATTCCACTCCTTTTTTGGACACATTTCTCTTTCATTGGTGTGCCTTTGTCTTATTTCACACACTTCTTCCCAATTGGTCCTTACTTTTTACCTATTTTATATATCCCTATCTTTCTGTGATTGGCCACAGGCTGAATCTTCATTTACGTAAAGTGTAATGTCACTACATCCTCTGATTGGTTGTGGGTCAAGCCTTCACTTCAGCCCTGATTGGTCCCAAACCAAACCTTCCTTCTGCCTCCAGTTGGTTCTTTACACTGTCATACCTCTTTCTGAGTGATACTTTCTCCAAGATGACCCACAGACCAGTCAGCGCACTCCTCCTTCCCAGTCCATAAAAACCCTGAACTCAGCTTCATAGCCAGTAACCCTCTTTTGATCCCATCCCCTTGCTGAGAGCTTTTCTGTTGCTTAATAAATCCAACTGTGGGCCGGACGTGGTGGCTCACGCCTGTAATCCCAGCACTTTTGGAGGCAGAGGTGGGCGGATCACGAGGTCAGGAGTTTGAGACCAGCCTGAACAACATGGTGAAACCCCATCTCTACTAAAAATATAAAAATTAGCCAGGTGTAGTGGCACACGCCTGTAATCCCAGCTACTCAGGAGTCTTGAATAAACATTTCACAGAAAAGAAAAAATAATAAACCTATGAAAATGTGCTTAATTGCAAGGAAATAAAAGTCAAACACCATGCAGATGGGTAATAATTTAAAACTCTGAGAATATTAAATGTCGCAAAGAAAAGAAACAAACTCATTCTTTTACACTGCAGACAAAAATGTTGATATAGCCAATCTTGAAAACAATTTGAAATTATCTTGTCACCTCCCAAACTTTTATCAAATATGTAACTAACTACATCTACAAATATACTATTTATCAGCATTATTACATAAACAAACCTTGTCCATTGACAAGAGAATGAGCAAATTGACATTTTTTTAAAAAAAATTTAGAGCTTTGACATATATGCTTGAAAATTCATAAAACAGTTATTGTTTTGTTCAAATCCCAATATATTATATATGATACAGTACTACATTGTATCATTTAAATCACCAAAGTTGTCACAAATTCTATATAAAAGTTTACCATATATATCTATTTAAAATATGTATATCATTTGGTTTCACTCAAATTGCTTATATTGATTACCTTTTGATTCTCAGTGAATAAAATCCATGAAGGCCATAAAGACTATTCAATGGCACTGGTCATATTCATTTTCCTATATTGTGTAGCAGAACCCCAAATAATGGTTTTAATATTGTGTTTTATTGTTAAACAGGGTTGCTTACATTTTTTTTGCATTAGAGAACACTAAACATAAATTTTTAAGTTGGAATGAAAAGGAATAAAAAGGATCCAGAGTGTGTGTTTCTAACTTCAACTTAAATCACTGAAATTCTGAGAAACGTAATTTGACTAAACAGTGAAACATATTCAGCAACAATCTTTTTTTATTTTTATTTTTTTTTGTCTTCTTGAACTCCTCTCCCCCAAACCCTATGCCCAGTATTGGAGAGGTAAGAACACAAAATGGTAATTAGGTAACATGAGCAAAAATCAAGGTCAATATTTTAAGACAGCATGCTAAATGATTAAGAAAATAAATTTGGGTTGCATAATGCTGGCTCAACCGCTTGTTAACTTTTTAATCCTGAGGAAATAATTCAACTTCTGTGTGCCTCAGTTACTCCATTTATACATTGAAAATAGTAGTGCCTATTTCATGGCAATTTTGTGGGCATTAAATGACTTAAATACAAACATGTACAACAGAGTCTGACATAAAGCATGTGCTATGTAATTGCAATTATAAATGTTAGTATGGAACCTCAGCATATGCAGAATCAGTCATTTTCAACGTATCTGCAATCAATTTGTGTTTTGTGAATGAATGTTGAATTCTGAACATTTTTTTCTTTTAGATCTATTGAGTTGATTATTTGGGTATTCCTTTATGATCTGTCCTTATGTACATAATTTTTATTAATTTTTGAATGTTACACCAAGTTTACATACTTCAGATAAATCACAATTTTATTGTATATTATTTAAAAAAATACTGCTTGATTCAATTGGCTAATATTTGGCCAATATTTGGCTAATTTTTTTAAGGATGCTCATGTTCTACTTTATTTTCTGAAAGAATGTAGTAGAGATCTATATTATTTTTTCATTAAATCCTTGTTAGAATTCATTGAAGGCAACTGGACCTGGGATTTTCTTTGTGTGCAGAATTTTAATTAAGATTTCATATTATTTAATACTATAGGTGTATTCAGATTTTCTAACACTTCTTACATCAGTTCTGGTAATTTGTGTCTAGTAATAAATTAGTCAATTTCATTTGAAGTTTGAAATTTATTGATTTTTAAAGTTAAAGTCCAAGCTATAATTTTGAATGTGTCTATTTCATCTTTCAGCTTATCAGTTTTTCCTTCAAGTTATTTTGAGACTCTGTATTTTGGTGTATACAACTTTAAGGATGCTCATGTCTTCTTAGTGGATTGACATGTTTCTCATTATGTAATATACCTCTTTATCTGTAATAATTTTGTTTTGAGTCTACTTCAGATATTAATAGAGCTACTTTTACGCTAAATTATCATTAATACTTTCATAGTGTATTTTTACATCATTTTACTTTCAACTAACTTCAAGAATTTCAGGTGAATTTCTTTTAAACAGCATATGGTTGGGCAATGTTATTTTTTTCCTCTCTGCCAAGCTTTTGATTTGTGGATTTAGTCCATTTATATTTAAGGTAATTGTTAATATGTTAGGTTTACCTCTTGTCCTGTTTCTAGTTCTTACTTTGTTTCTCTTTTCTTGTGGATTTCTTTTTCAGCATCTTACATTGACTTTTTATGTTTTTTTGTGTGTGCATCTCTTTGTATAGTTTTCATGTAAGTTGTTTTGAGAATTACAACACACATAAACAATTTATATACTTCTGTTATCAACATTTAATCATTTTGATTGGAGAGAGAAACCTTACTTCTGTTTATGTCCCTTTACTTTTTCCACCCTTACATATTATTGCTGTGAATATCAAAAGGTATTATACTTTTTAGTTCAATCATCAAAGTTCACTTTTTTATGATGTACAATTTTATAGGTTTTAGTAAATGCACAGAATCATGTATCCAGTTCCCCAGCACTATACAGAACAGTTCCAACATACTAAAAATTTCCCTTTGTGTTTCCTTTGTAGTCAAACACCACCAGTCACCAATAATCTCTGGCAAACACTGACCAGTTTTTCTTCTTTATAGTCTTGCATTTTCCAGAATGTCATATGAAAATAATCATCCAATATAACACCTTTTGATGTAGGTTCCTAGTAAGATACATTTACGACTCCTCCATGTTAATGAATAAGTCAATATCCTATGCCCGTGTATCACTGACTAGTATTCAATCGCATGGTTGTGCCACTGTTTACTGATTCCCTGTTGAAGAAAATTTTAATTGTTTCTAACTTTAGTGATTACAAATAAATCTCCTATAAACATTTGCATACAAGTATTTAGGTAAATAGTTTTCAAGTCACTTAAATATCTAGGATTGTAGTACTTGGGTCATGTGTTTAACTTTACGCATCATTTTACATTTCCATTATCAAAGAATGATATCTATAATTGCTTCATAACCTGGCCAGCATTTGACATTGTCTGTCTTGTGGATTTTGCTTTTCTGTGAGTGTGTTATGGAATCTCATTTGGCTATAATTTGCATTCCCTGATGACAAATGAAAATGAGCATTTTTTCATGTGTCTGCCATTTATATATCCCCTTTGATATCTTCTTTGTTAAGATATTTGACCCATTTTTTAACTTGGGTTGTTCATTTTCTTGTTATTGAGATTTAAGTATTCTTTCTATAGTTTGGATGCAAGTCTTTTTTATCAGATATGTGATTAGCAATATATTCCCTCAGTCTGTTGCTTGCTTTTCATTCTTATAACAGTGTCTTTCACAGAACAAATATAACAATTTTAATGAAGTCTAATTTAACCATTTTTTCCTCTCATCTCATGCATCATGTGTTTTGTGTCATATTAAAAATTCATAATCAAACCTTAGGTCATGTAGATTTTCTTCTATAATTTCTTTCAGATTTTTAAAATTTTGAATGAAATTTACATTTATATTAAGAATTATATTTATATTTTGCATTTATAGTCTAATTCATTTTGAGTTCATTTTTATGTAGATCCTGAGATATGTGACATGGTTCAATTTTTTTTTCATATGGGGTTCCAGTTTTGTTCTCACAACATGTATTGAAAAGACTATTTTTTCACCTTAGGTTGTCATTGCCACATTAAAAAAAAATAGTTGACTATATGTGCATGAATCTGGGTGCTCTATTCTGTTTCAATATCACTTTTTTTATGTATAAGTTTATACTGTTTCTTTAAAATAAGTCTTGAAATTGTATAATGCGAATTTCAACTTTGTTATTTTTCCTTAAAATTCTTTAAACTATTTTAGATCCTTTACCTTTCTGTGTAAATTTTAAAGTTAAATTTCCAATGTCTACCAAAAGAAAGAATAAGCTTACTGAGGTTTTGATTAGGATTATTATGAGTCAATAGTTCCAACTGGAGAGAAATGACACCTTAACCACATTGATTTTTCAAATCTATGGGCATGGTATATATCACCATTTATTTAAATCTGTGATTTCTTGAATAAACATTTTTTAGTTTTCTGCATAAATACCTTGGATATATTGTTAGATTTATATATAAGTACTTCATATTTTGGGTTTATTGATTTATAATTTGAATCTATTACTGTGAACAAAAGTACTTTAAATAATATGAGGGTGTTTTTTTTTTCTTTCTAATGGCCTAGGATATGGTTCATCATAGAAAATGTTCCATATGTACTTAATATAATATGTATTCTGTTGTTGGGTAGGATGTTCTGTCCTAGAGACAATTACTGTTCAGGTCATCTATATTCTTACTATTTCCATGGTTACTTGTTCTATCAGTTACTGTTTTACTTTCTAAGTTGAATATACATCTAGCCTAGGTCTTCCTTAAAAATTGGCTACTTCATTATTAGTTAACACTTCCTTATTTTAAACAATCCTTCTTGTTCTGAAGTCTCAAATTAATCTTTATCTGAAGTTAATATAGCTAGGCCAGGGCTCTTTCGTTTAGTATTTGCATTTACCTTCACTATTCTTTTACTTTTAACACATCTGTATCTTTAAGGTGAGTTTCTTATGGCTAATATATAGTTCAGTCTTTTTTTTTTATTTAAAGTGAAAATTCTTGAGTTTTTACTGGTATATTTATACAATTCACATTTACAGTAATTATTGATATATTTGAAGTAAAACCTAGCATATTACTAGCTATTTCTATTAGTTATGTTTTTATTTTCATCTTTTCTGCTTTATAGTTTTAACATACTCCATTTTATCTCTTCTATTAATCTCTTCTATTAACTTGTTATTTATACTTTTTAAAACCCATATTAGTGTTTGACATATAATTTACAATATAAATCTTTAAAAAATCTGAGATTACCTTCAAAATAATTTGTACCACTACATGTTTACCATATAGACCTTATAACCTTTTAGTCTTAATTTTTTTCCTTGTGTGATTGTCATACATTTCACTTTTCCATATACTGCAAGTACACAGTACTTTTTGCTATTATTCCTTCAAAAATTCAGTTTTTAGAGCATTTGAAAATAAGAAAAGGTAATATTATGGACTGAATATGCCCCACCCCCAAAATTCATATGATGAAGCCCTAACCCCCAGTATGGCTATATTTGGGGACAGGGCTTTTAAGGAAGTAATTTAAGGTTAAATGTGGTCATAAGGGTAGGGCCCTAACCTAAGCAGATTAATGTGCTTATAAGAAAGAATACCAGAGACCCAGAGAGCACTTTATCTTCCCCCACTTCGTATGCAAAAAGAAATTCCATGCATGTCGTGACATAGCAAGAAGGGGACTGTCTACAAGCCAGGAAGAGAGACATCACCAGAAATCAACCTTACTAGCACCCCAATCCAGAACTTCTAGCTTCCAGAACTATGGGACAATAAATTAATGATGTTTAAGCCACCCAATCTATGGTGGTTTATTACTGCAGTTCTGGCCAATGAAGACACAAATTATTTTTTTAACCCTCTATTTCATGCATGATGCTCTTACTATCTTTGAATAGATTTCAGATATTTCCAATACTTTCTGCTTAAAAATTTGCTGTAATTCTTGAAGCCTAGATCTGCTGGCAATAAGTTCCCCAGTATTGGTTGTCTAAGAAATTGCTTATTTTTCCTCACTCTTGAAGAATATTTAACTTGGTATTCAATTATGGGTTGATACTATTTTTTTTCTTTTAGTACTTGAAATATATCATTATGTTGTCCTCTTGATTAGTTGGTTTTTATAAGGCTTCTTAGGTACTGTTTATACTTGTTCCTCTGAATATAACGTATATACCTCTTCCCTGCATCTATCCTCAAGTTCTTTATCCTCATCTTTGTTTTTCAGCAGACTGAATAATATGGTGAAATGTGGCTTGTTTTTTTCATGGATCCTGCTTGGTGGTCTTTGATTTTCTTGAACACATCATCTGCCTCTAATTTTGGAAAATTCTTCACTATTGTTTTCTTAAATATTTCATGCCATTCTTTCTTATCCTTCTGGAACTCTAATTATGCACATTATGCCCTTTTTTATTATCTCAGTAAATTGGATGCTTGACTGTTTTCTGTTTTTGTTTTTATTCTTTATTTTTCTATTTGTGTTTATATTTTGGCAATTTTTATTGATCTTTCTTTAAGTTCACTGGTTCTTTTCTTGGATGTGTCAAGTCTGCAGATAAGCCTGGTGAGACATCCTCATTTTTGTTAATGTGCTTTTGATTTATAGTATTTCCATTTTACCTTTACCTTCAGTGTCCACTCTCTGTTGAAATTACCTATTCGACCTTGCATTTGTTTTACCTTTTACGTTATAGTCGTTAAACATATTAATCACAATTATGTCATGTTCTCTGTCTGATAATTCCAACATCTGTTTCATATCTGAGTCTGATTCTAATGACCACTTTATTTCTTTAAACTGCATTTGTTTTGCCTCTTTTCCTGTCTTGTTTCTTTGATGAAAGTTGTTATGGTAGGAGAGTAGATGCTGAGGTAAGGATGTTTTATGTGGGAAAAAAAGCACATCTTTCTTTCTGCATCTTGGGTGTAAAGGTTTGTACTAACCTCATCAGAAATCGGGCTACAACTGAAGCCTGCTGTTGTTGCATCTCTCTTTATTGTAACTAGAGATTTCAAATTCTAGTGAAACTTTGTTTATTTCTCCCCAGTTGGATTTTGGCCTTACCATTTTCCTATTCCCTAGATAAAACCCAACTCTTAACTCATCTCAGAGCTATATTCTACTGTTCAATTTGAGATCTGGTAGCATGGTTAAGGATAGTTCTCTGGTGCCATGTTTGAACCTCAGTCGTAAGCAGGCACAGTTCATTTGGATCTCAGGGGCATGGTCTTCAAAAGTGTTTATTCGCTTCTTTGAGTGATGATGCTAGGCCTAGCATATTAGCACATATTCCTGACCCTTTTCTATGTGTAGAGACCACCCCTGAGCCCCCACTCTCCTCCAGTGGTTTCTAATGGCATTCGCAATATACACCTTTGCTACCCTTGCCCCTGAAAATCAAGTCATTTTTCCCATGGAAGAGAGGAAAGGAATCATGGCTAGCACCATGGCGAGTTTTTTTCAGGGAGTTTTTTTCTCCCTAGGTAGCTGGTGGGGTTCTACAGGAAATTCTGCAAGAAACTGGAAATATCTCAATGTCTGTAGCCACATCAGCTTCAAAATCTCTTTCTAATCCACATGTGGCCTCCTGCAGATTGTTAAAAATGTATGGTTTAATCTTCCTGGTTTATATGGCGTTCAGCAATATTTGTTCCATGAGAGCCAATGCTTGAGTCTTGCTTATTTCTGCATGGTTTTTTGTTTTTCTCTAGATTTCAGGTTAGTTGTTTGCCCTAAATTTCATTTCTCTGATTAGTTCAAAATAAAGTCGTTAACATGAAATCTGACTATCTTTTTTTATAGGTATATGTGATTATAGTCTCATCTCTGTACATGTTTAAGCCAAGATATGAGTGCTACAACGCTAAAATTTTGTTTTCTTCTAGTTACATCCTCTCTATCATTTTTACTCTGTGTCCATTAACTCCCTTTTATGTTGGTTATGGAACTATCTTTATGCTTCTTGCCATGCTTACTGATTTTTATTGTTACTTTGTTGAATGTTTGAAATTTGTTGTTTTTTAATAATTGGCTTATGTTTGCCTGTTGTGCAATTAAATTATTATTAGTTTGATCACTGCGAGGCCTATTTGAAAGCTTTGCTTTTCTGGATCTAAAGAAGTTTTCAATCTAGTTCACTAAGGTGTGCCTTTCCTCTCCACTCTCTATTAAATGTCCTGGAAGAATAGAGTTTTTTTTCTGTCTGCAAAGTAATCCCAAAATTTCCTCAGGAAGCAAAGGTGATGTGATTCTAAAACTCACTTCATTTGTCTGCCTTCTCCAAGGGATCAGTTATACACTGACTGAATCCAAACTCTGAAAGCATTTTGTATGTTTTATTCAGCTTTATAGTTGTTTACGGTAGGAGGTCAGGTGTGATCTTTGTCACTCTGTCATGGCTAAATACAGAAGTGCAAAAGACTTTTAAAAGTGAAGTTTAATATTTTATCTCTCCCTGCTTCACCCTATATTGCTATTTGTGATCTAGAATCTATTAAAACATTAAATGTAAATATTATTAAATTTTATATTTAGTCATTTTTATCAATTAACATTTTACATTATCTTGCAAAGAACACAATGAATTCTAGGTCTCCTGTGGCCTGAGTAAGCATAGAAATCTTTGCTTACAGCCTAATGAAATGAATGTTAGACTTGATCATTTTAGGAATATTCTGGGGGGAAAGAAAGTAAATTTGAAATACCAGGATAATGTCTATGCAATTTTATAAAAACTTATTATTCTGAGTGTTTATAAACTTTCTAAAAATATATTAATTTTTGACTAGTTTATTGGCTCTATTGTAAATGTTTTAAAAACCTTGAAAACTCATACACTTACCTTCCATAGTAATAATAAATATTAAAATATTGATAATTTTTAAACTGTTTATGTGTTGATATTTGTTAATCTTATATTTCAAGTGTCAATCAGTGAAATGTATCTTTTGTAGATAAAGTAATTAATACCAGGTTTTCTGGGTTTTAATAAAATAATTCAAAAATTTAAAAATAAACTCTGTAACAGTTTTTGCAGTAATGATGTCTTACATTTATAAAGTAACTCTATATTTAAAACGAAAAAATAATATTTATTTTAAATCCATCTCAGTCTTTTAAAAATGTACTGAATAAGCACAGGAGGATATGCAAGCCATGTATTTGTGAAAAATAGCATCATTTTGTGCTCAATCTTCTTGTCTAAGAAAATTACTGACAAACCACAGGTGTGCTTTGCATGTGTTGATGAAAAGCGTGTGGGTTCTGATAATAACTTGACTTTTAAATGCTGGGTGTGTTCTCTCAAGCTTGCCAATATCTAATTGCTGTATGTTTAGGCACACTATTATTATGCTTGATTGTACAGTCCTCTGATCAGAACTGGTGCATGATTTAGACATATTTTACAATTCTCAGGTTTATAGTGTTTGAAGAATGTTGAGCAAAAGGGCCAGGAAAATAACAACCACCACCACCACCACAACAATAACAGCAACAACAAAAAAACATAAACACCGCTAACAGGAATAGTAAATAAGCTGCAAGAGAGTTTTCTCCTAATGGAGTTTTGGTGGTGGCCTTATTTGGATTGTAAGATTTCAGTTTAGTTAAAACTATTAGCAATAATATTATTGATGCAGCACCCTTCAGTCTATAGATATCACAACCACTCACACAACCATTACCTTCTGTTAATAAAATATTAAAAACTGGTAAGAGCCTTAAAAGCCAATGCTAAATCAATTGGCATATTCGCTATAAAACTTAGTGTTGAGAAATAATTATATCTTGACCAACCGAGTCACAAACAGGTAGATAATTCATATCAAGATTATAACTTAAACCGGAAAATAAAGTAAGCCTCATATTTTAGGCTTACTTATATACATATATATATATATAACTTTGTAAATAGGAATTTAAACAGTGTATGGTTTTTCTTAGGAGTAAACAAATATCTGATATTCTTATATTTCTGGGATAGCCTGTGCTCCAATGTTATTAGCTCTATGGTAAGGCTATAAATATTTTCTGAAAACAAGATATACTTAGAAATATTATTTCTCATAATATCATATGGCAATAAAAACCAGTTAAATTTTTCTAAGTGATTATTAGTAAAATGGAAATAGATTTTATATCTGAAACTTAGACCAAAACTTTAATTTTTCCAAAGTCAGTGTGACTAGTATATCAGTTTATCTTTCTAGGCTGTAGAATGAAGAAACTGATACATACTTAAATTGATTGTTTTGTGAGTAAAGTTCAATATGAACATCCTCTTTAAAATATCTAGGACAGAACCTGGCGATAAGATATACTTAAGAAATGTTTATTAATTAATAATTCATATTAATTAACGTGAAATATTACTAACCAATTATAATTTGAAATAAAATGCATAAATAAATTATGGCCTTTGACCTCCAGGAGCTCATTAACTTACAGTAGTTTGTGAATAAAACTATATCTAATGCAATGTTTAATGCATTCTACCTATTTTTTCTATGAAGTGATATGAAACCATTTCATCATTCTGTCTGAAAGTGGCGGCTCTATTAGAAATGGTCCAAATACCTTACTACATTTGTAGAAAGTAGTCACTTTACCTGCAAATAAAAGGTGGCACTGAACTAGTATTGTAATCTACTAGGAAAAATAAAGCTTGTATATAGCAGGTTTTCATTACAATACTCAATTTCCCTCTCTATGATGGTATGATATTTATACATCTGTTGCCTGGAGTCTACATTTTCATTAAAACTGTCTCTGTTGTTCTACAAACCACAAAATTCTCCCATGAAGGTGCAATTCTGCATTTTCTGTGCAATAAAGATTGATTATATATCTAGAATAATTGATTCTGTCTCTAATGTAGATAAACTAGGAATAACCCTAAATTCTGAAAACTACTGGTGAAGTAGTTTTACAATAGGCCAAGTATTTATGGTGTCTTCCCCTATATTATAGGATTATAGGTAGACAAATGAAGATCAAATTGACAATAAATGTGCTTTGCACTTCATAAAATAAGCATGATAAGTCAGAGAATAAAACTCATTATGTAATTCAAAAGTCTTGAAATAATATATATGTATATATAAAATATATATTTATACAGACATAAGATAAATGTTGACATGCAAACATACACATATCTTACTAGAAAAGTGAATAAGATGGGAAGTCATAATGCTACTTAATAGAGACTTTTATCTGGGACTGCCTTGTCAAATACAAAAGACATGCACATGGCCTAATGAGAAAAGTATACCATATCCCCAAACAAGTACATATAATATTCCTTTATAGTAGGAATTCAAATGCAATTATGAGAATATGAATTTATTCCAGAAATATTTATTATCTTACAGTAGCTGACTTACATCTAAACTAGAGTGCAATATATTTGCACATTTGCATGAAATATGGGTTAGTTTTAATACTTATAGATAAATGCAGTAAATAAAAATATTTAAAATTAATGTATTTATAATCTACCCTGTTGTGGTAGGCTATAAACCAGAGATTGTCCAGAATGCTTACTTAGTACATGAGTTTTATGACCTAATATACTTGAGTTCAAATCTGGGACCCATTTTTTATTAACTACATAATTTTGGACAAGTTCCAAAACTTCTCTGAATGTACTTCAGTATCTGGAATAAGGGTTAATACCTCATACAAACATAGTTTTGATAATTAAGTGGTAGTTTGAGTGGTGTTTGAACAACCATCCCAAAGAACAACCAGAAATGCCCAAGAATACACAGACACATGCGCACACTGGGGTACATTTCAAGGAATTAGAGAACTATTAAAGCAGTGAAGAATTGTGGGACCAGGATCTGGGAGAGGGCAGTATCTCAGAGAGAGAAGTAAGACTTAGAGGTTGCTTATGCCTAAAGATATTTGCCTCTTTCAATATCAGAGATGAGAGTTTAGAACATTCTTTCACAATAAACTCACAAGATCCAAAAGTTACATTTTGGAGCTCAAGGCTGGAAGAGGATTCAGGACCAATAATCCACCAGGTTTTGAATTGGAACCTGAAAAATTTACACTGTAGTAGTGAGAATAACCTGAAAATAATATGAGCTAATAAGGGGCTAAAGCCCATTTCTAGAATCATTTCAATATATTTGAAGGTGATTTTAGATTGCAGATGGTTCTAGCCTGGCCAATTTGCAGGGATTAAAATAAATGATCTCTCATCAAAAAATTATAAAATAAATTTTATTTACCACAGCACTGTTTCATATATGATATATGGAATAAAATTTTAAAACGTAGTTATTCATGCAAAAATAAGACAACACAACCTAAAACAATTTCATGAAAATAGGTTAATAGAAGCAGAATCAGAAACACAAGGGACTTAAAAGGAGTTATCATAATCGAACTTTAAGATAGCTATGTTTTTTACACTATTAAATAATAAACATCATAAAAAAGATTGGCAATATGTATTTTCAGGAAACAAAAATATATTTTAAAATCTGGTGATTTTAGAACTGAATGGATACATTTAAAAGCAGCACAAAAGGGAGTTAATGAATTGAAAAGATGAAATGACTCTCCACATCTGCAGGTGAGAATTATATATGTCAAAAGTTGAAAATAATATCCACAAAGACAGTAAGATTAAAAAGTAAATTTATCAAGCTAGCTGGATAAATTCAATATATACAAAATCAAGTGCAGTTCTATATCCTACAGGAAATATATAGTGAAAAAGTATATACCATTCAAGTGTCAACTAGAAACACAAAATACTAAGGAAGACACAAGGACTTATTCACAGAAAACTAACATTATTAAGAAAAGTTTTTGTAAAAAGCTAAGTAAATAGAGAGACTAAATTTGTAGAAGAAAAGTCTGGAAAAACTAAGAAAAAAACATTGTTTTGAAATTGTTCTCTAGTTTGGATGCAATCTGAATTAAAATTTCAAGAAACTATTTTTCTGGCAATTAAAAAGCCAAGTCTAAAATTTATGTATGAAAGCAAAATACCAAGAATAACAAAAATTGTTGAAGAAATAATATAAGGAGAATAAAGAGAATGAAAAAATGAGGGAGGACTTGCTACTTTGGATAACAAATATATTGCTATGTTAAACTAATGGAGACAGTGTAGTCTTGCCATAGAAAAGACATATACATCAATGGAACTCCATAAATAATCTAAAAGGGTCCTATGTAATATCAACATTTTATGACAAATATTGACCATCATAGTAGTGTCCAAATAAAGCCAAAGAGAGGTATTTTCATTAAAATATTATGAGTCAATTGCAATATCACTATAAAAAATGTTTAAGCAAACTATACCACTGTTTCACATCATGTATAAAATTACTTCCGGGTGAATTTTATATTTTATTGTTGAATTAAAGATAAAACTTGGGCCTATGATAAGAAATTTTTTAGTTAAATAGAAAGAGAAAAAATTCTACCACAAAATGAAAATATTGGTACATTTTAATGTTAAAATTTAGCACTACTAAAAAGAAAAATATATATATGTCAAAATTAGAGCATTAATAATAGATTCATATTCTTATCTGAAAATAAAGGAAATTTTTATACATCAAAGAAAAGACAGGTAATCTGTTTCAAAAATGGTTAAGAGATTTGAACAGGCATTTCATAAAGGGGTTATTCAAAGGCCTATAAAAATATGAAAAGTTGTTCAACTGTTATCCACAAGGGAAACGCAAAGTAAAGCTACCGTTAGATAAAAGTACTATTGTAGGCTGTTTGTAAAGGTAGTTGTAATTATTTTCATTCTTATATTCATGCTACTTTACAATGATATTTTTTAAAGCCCCCCATCAAAAACTAGAGTTCATTTCCCCAGACTTGAATTTGGTCTGTCACTGTCCCAGCTGAGGGGATCCCAGATCAACCAGCTCAAACTGACAGCTAGCTGCAAAAGCATTAGCCTAGCTGAGACCAGAATCACTAAGACTGACCTGATGAGACTTATAGATTCAAGCCAAATAATTGGTTGTAGTTTAAGGCCAATAAATGTTGGGGTAACTTTCTATGTATTAAGAGCTAACTAATATTATTAAATACTCATCAAACTAGTTTTTTAAATAGTCCAATTTTAAGATATAAAAAACAGTACCTCTCATTCACTGTTGCTAGCAATATAAATTGGTAGAAGCACTTTGGAATATGTTTGGACATTTTCTACCAAAAATGTAGATATTCATATACTCTAAATTTGTATATGCACATGCACACTTGTATAACCAAACAATATCACTCTTAAAATTAGACCCCTGAAATGTACATATGTGCATCAAATAACATGCATCCAAATGTTCAGATCAACAAACAAAATATTCATAATAAATAGTATATTACTGTATTGTACTGTACAGCAAGAAAAATGAATGAACTACTGCCACTTAAAACACAATATATTCCTCTTACACATTATTTCAAGTGAGAGGGTCAGACACTGTATAATTTGTTCTGTATTTATACAAAGTTCAAAAATAATCAAAACTCACTTAGTGACTGAGAAGTCGGGATAATGGTTATCAGAAAAAATAGTAATATGGAGGGATCATGATAAGGTTTCTAACGTTCTCCTAAAGTTCTCTTTCTCGATGTGGTGGGATGTTTACATGGAGGTGTTCTCTTTAAGAAGATGATTAAAATGTACTCCTACAATTTATGCACTATTCTACATTTACTGTATAGTTTTAAATTTAGCCGAATCTAATGAGACTTCTAATAGTTTACTAGAAAGATGAAGGTCATCCTATTATAACATCTTAATTCTCCTACAAATGTGTGATTACATAAAGTGTTATTTGTAAACCATCTTGTAGAAATCCAGACGATACAAGCACTTCTTCCCTATTTTATACTTCAATAGGCTTTGCTATTATTTTACCCTACCCTCTCATTTGGAAATTTTTATAACATGTAAAAAGTATATAAAAAAAGAGACATCCTCTCTAGACATGTTTTGGCTTCTTGCTTTAGATTCTGCCATAATTTTTTCTCCAGTAACATTTCTCTCTAAATGTGCTCTTCACGTCTCTTAAGTCAGTCAAGGTTTATTGAGTGCCTATGACATGCCAGGTTATACAAAGGCAAACAAAACAGAGGAAAGACTTGCCTTCATTGTGCTCACATTCTAGTTAAAGGAAATTAGAGAGCCAATAAGTATGGCAAGACAACCAGTCAATCAAGATGTGACTTTCTGTGTGGTTTCAACATTCTTCTTCTCGCCTCCTGATATAATTATGATTATTAGAAGCATATTATCTTTTATTTCTAATACACTACAATGCTGATCCTTGTGGCACATTGGATTATTTTTCCCAACTCTTTACTCTGTCTTTATTAAAAAAATACATCCATGACTATATTCATGGGAATTGTCTATGCGTTCTTTGGAAAAATTGCTTTCTCCCACTTCCTTAAACTTTGGTTTGGACATATGACATGCTTTGGCCAATGGTATGTTAGCAAGATTAAAGTTTGCTGCCTCCCAGTAGAAGAATTAAATGAAATTGTATCATTAGGGTCTCCTTCTTTTTTTCTTTTCCTTCACCGTGAAAATATGTTTCCCAGATAGTGGCTATTATTCCTACCTGTGTTTGTAAACAATGAGTTTTAGCGTAGAATTAAGTCCAGCCCAACAGAACCCAGTTGAGCATGGCTGAGCTCAGTTGACCTGCCCCACAGATGGCCTACAGCCTTCATGTGATGTGAGCAACAAATGCATGTCTTTTTTTTTCGCCGAATAGAAAAAGAGGTTGTTTACTTTTGCAGGAATAGGTGACTACCTCATGTTACATAAATAACAAACTTAAAAACTAATTTGGAGAAATAACTGCCAGTGTACCAACTCCACCCTCTCATAGTGCTCAAATCTATTTTTTCTATAGTAACTATTCTTTTATTTCACGCAAGCTATCCAAAATAAACATTTTAACATTACACAATTTCTTGATTGCCTTAAATTTATGATATTCTCTTGGAAATTGTGTTGAATATATACATTTAGCTAAGATCTCAAAGTTTCCATAAAGTTGTGGGAGAGAAAAAAAAATTCTTTGATGTAATTAGCTCTGTGAACTCATCCACTTTATAGGATATTGTTAAAATGCCACTTCTGGCTTAGATGTAATTTACTATAGAAAATTTGTATGTATGTATATAATTTGCATTATAAAAGATCAGAAGCTAGCATTACTGACTAGTGGAAACACAAAGAAGTTTACACAACGTGGGTAAAATGGTCTTTTTTTAAGAAGCTAGTAGATTAGAAAATTTTTTAAAAATCAGAATGTTTTTGTTCAATTTTGTCATTAAGGAATATTCATGTTGTTCACTCTTTATACTGGTGAACTAATACAAAAAACATAAATAATAAGTCATTTTTTCTATACTCTATTCTTACATTCAGTCATAATATTTGCCTAAATTGAATACAGACTTATCTAATTTTATTGTTGCTCTTTCTCCCTTGAATCTTCTGTTTTTAAATCCAGACTGTTTTGCAACTGTTCTTTCACCTTTTAGAACCAGTCAACCAGGCTTCCCTATGACTCTGATTGCTTGTATTAAGCTTTGTCATGTGATCATGTACCCTGTATATAGCATAATTCCTTTCAACGGGCTCAGCTAATTAAGTTCTGTAATCAAGGACATTGCAGCCAAGAGCTAATTTAAAAATTAAATGCTGAAAACAGAACAACATAATTTACTCTACAATTAAACGATTAGAGATGAAAGAACTATGGCATATTTTGTCTGTTTGTTACATTTATAAAATCTTCACAGTGAATTTGAACATTTTTTCTTTATAATATCAGACCTTTTAGTTTAACCCCATAAACTCTTTCATCTAATCTAGCTAGTTTTAGGTGTTTTCTAGCAGGTAGCTTTAAGCTTTCTATGTACCTAAGTTGAAACTGAAGGGTCCTCTGGCAATATTGCTTTGCAGACATTGCTTCCCTATGTCTGCTGTTTACAAATGACACATTTCCATGCAGATGTGAATTTGGTAGTCCTGTAATAGTGACCCCAGAGCATGATGCTTGGGTGTGTGATCTCTTTGCAACCCTATTTTTTCTCTGTCTGTCATACTTCATTTTACTCTCTCCTACCCAAGCATCAAAAGATGCCCACACATATCTCTTAAATATATTCTGCTGCCTGTTAAAACTGGGAAAAAGAAGATACTCTCTAGTTTACTATATTTGTTAATATTTCTATTAGCTGGTTCTGTGAAATGACTATTTATGGCCTGGGAGTTATAAGGGAAAAAAAAAGTATTGCAAATTTTGGTTTTACTTATTTGAGACAGCTTTCAATGATGTAGTGATATCTGTAGTTTTAATATTCGTATAGTATCATTCTATATCAAACGGTAAGTTAAAGCTTTTCCATTGACTTGGTCATATGTTGCCTAAAACTATTCTCTTCTACTTGGAAATGACAGCACAGTGAAAACGTGAATGTTTATTTTACACATTGATGAACAATAAGGAATGGGATATAAACTATTCATATTTAAATATCAAAATTGTTAGAAACAAAACCTTTCCCAAAACAACTTATAGTGCCTGTTAAGCCTAAAATAATTTTGAATATAAGAGAAGATTCTGCATTATTTATGATAGTACAGATTTGATTATTTAATACTGTCTGAGGACCAGCTTATAATTTGAAGACTAATGTGTAATAATAATAATGTTTGGTTCTAGGAAATGTATCATTAAAATAATCTTAACCTTAAACTTTAGTAATCTGGGTAAAGTTAACAAATCAATTGTTAAAGTTAATATATAAGCAACACAGTCTCTATAAATTTCTAATATTAAATTATTAGTACTTTAGGAGTATGTATCATACTTTTATAATCAGTCACTTATATTCCTTATTGGTTTTAACTTTACTGAGATCTTAACTTTCCTCTCTCATGTGACTTCTACATAAAAGACTTTTATGTTTACTTAAAATATTTTGGGCTCACAAACTTGATAACTATTTCATATATAAGATGTTATTGTTTTACTTATTAAAGATATTTGGCTGGGATGTTTTCTATTTTGAACTTATTCATTTTACAGTATGATTTTCCTAATTGATATTAGCAAAGCTATGACTCTACTGGAGATTTCATCAATTGAGGCAATTTATTAATCTTAATGGCCTAACAAAATAGATGTGTATTTCCCATTCATACCAAGTCCAAGAGTCCATACCAAATCATCAACACATGAATTCCAAGGTCATCAAACAAGAGGAAGAGATACTAGAGAAAGGACATCCATTTCTAAATCTGTTTTGTTTGTTTTCAAAGTGAAATAAATCAGTAAATTAATTTCTTACTGGTAGTGTACCAAGTTACCACAAACTCTGTGGTTTAAAATAACACAGATTTATTATCTTAAACTTCTGCAAGTCAGAAGTCCAAAATGTGTCTCACTAGGGTAAAATTAGTGTCAGCAGGGCTGTATTCTATTCTGGAGATTCTAGAGTAAAATTAGTTTTCTCACCATTTCCAGCTTATACAGGCTACCTGCGTACCTTGGCTCCTGGCCCTAGCCCATTTCAAAGACAGCAGTGGTCAGCCAAGTCTTTCTCAAGATGTCTTCTTTCTGGTTCTGACTCTTCTGCCTCCTTTGTCCCCGTTTAAGAACTCTTGTAGTTAAATTGGCCCCACCAACTTATTCCAGAGTAATCTCTTTATTTTAAGGCCATCTGATTAAGTAATTTACCCATCTGTAATGTTAATTTCATCTCTGCAATGTAACCTAAGAGATCCATCAGTTATGGAGATTAGGATGTGAATATTTTAAGGAGCCATGACTCTGCCAACCAACTCAGTATCACTCATGTTAGGCTGCTGAAATATCATCACTTATCCACTGACAGAGGCCATGAAATGGCCACTTCCCAACAACAAACATAACTGATAATTCAGAAAGAGAACTTAGTACACGCAAGAATTCAGGGCATATACAAATATGTTTCATAGGTTAATGGCAAATGATTTGGGACAAATAATTTTCTAATAATTATTTTAAAAGTAATTGGTTTTTATTTTGAATGGATGTTGAATTTTATCAAAGGCTTTGTGTCTATTAAGGAGATCATTATCTTTTTCTTTTTGATTCTGTTGAATCACATTTATTGATTGTGTATGTTGAACCAAACTTGTATCCCAGTAACAAAGCCTACTTCAGTGTGGTGAATTAACTTTTTGATGTGCTGCTAGGTATTAAAGGAACATACCTCAAAACTATCTTTCTTCACTGAAAACATGATTCTACCCTAGAAAATTCTAATGACTGCCAAAAAGTTCCTAGAACTGGTGAACTATTTCAGTAAAGTTTTAGGATACCAAATCTATGTACAAAAATCGGTAGCATTTCTATATACCAGTAACATTTTAGTTAAGAGCCAAAACAAGAACACAATACCACAAAAAAATATAAAATACCTAGGATTACATCTAATCAATGAGGTGAAAGATATCTACAAGGAGAACTACCAAACATTGCTGAAAGAAATCAGACACGATACAAATAAATGGAAAAATATTACACCCTCATGGATTGGAAGAATGTTGTTAAAATGACCATACCGCCCAAAGCCATTTACAGATTCTATGCTATTCTTATTAAAATAGCAATGTCATTTTCCATAGAAATTTTAAATAAAGTTTCTGCCCCTCTTCCAGAGGTGGAACTTGCTCTCCATTCCTCCCAATACCTTACCTAGTTTCAGCAGATGTCTTCCACTTTTCCTATTCTGTTCCCAGAAATAAAAGAAATTAAGGTTCTCTCCCCTCCTTAGTTGAGAAAGGGAGGCTGGTGTTGGGTGAAGTTCCCATCTCCTAGCCGCAGTATTTTACCTGTACCTTTCTGTGATGTCCTTTCCCTACAAAGTAAAGCTTTTGTTCTAGGAGAGGAGTTGTGGTGGATTTCATGGTGGTTGCTCTTCTCTTCCCCATCCTGAACATTGGAGAAGTTTTCTCTGGATTCTTTCTATCTGCCCTGTAAGAACCTGGAGGGATTCCTGGAGGAAAGTTATGAAAGTGTGAGGACTGTCAGTGAGCGTGGTCCCCAGGAGACCTTCTCACTGACACCAGCCCACTCTCATCCTCCAGCAACTTGTCAAATGTGCTTCTTTAATGCCCTACTAGTTTATAGGGCTTTGGGTGCCTTCTGCCCCAGGTAAGCAAATGCTCAGGTCTTGTGTTTTAAGGTAGATGCCTATCTTTTCAAATTTTGCCATAGTGGCTTGTGATTTCAGTTCTCTCAAAGAAAAGTCATTGATTTTCAGCTTGTGTTGTTCTTTCTTGTTGTAAGGGCAAGCTTGATTTCTTTTCAGCTCTTTACATGTTCACACTGGTCCAGGCGCTCTGTATGTTTTTTCGTGATAATGATGGTTTTTTTCCTACATTAATATATGAAGTTATTTAAAATGTCTTTTTAGTAAGAATATGAACTACTTGTTCTATAATAATTAGGGAATGATTTGTTCCCAAACCATTTGCTATTAACTTATGAAACATATTCATATATATACTAAATTTTCACATGTACCAATTGATAGTACTCTTTCAGAACTATCAATTATCTGTTACTAATTTTCCTCTTTTTTCATTAGTAGAATTTGTTTGTTTATTGTAGTTTTTATAAATAATTTTAATAATCAATGTGCAAAGTTTTCACCTCATTATACTTCTTTCTAAAAAAAATCTTATCAGTTTTTAACAAGTAAAATTTACAACCAAATTAAAAATTAACCTCTCAGGAAGCCTTTGAGACAATCTACAACAAATCATGTCATATCATTTTATATACTACTAAAAATATTTTTATATACCTGGATAATTTTTCAAATAATCAATATTTCTACACATGTATTTTGTATCATTCTTTATGGTTATTTATGCTACCTTAATATATTTTTTCTATTATGTGCTCCATATGGTTATTTATATTATATGTAAACATGAGTTTTACATATTTAATTTACTTCTAGATTCTTTACTAACTCACACATCCAATTCCAGTTTACCCTTTTATATTGAAATATGCCCATCACCAAAATTGCAACTAAATGTATCAACAAGGAAGAGTACAGTAAATGAAAATTAGACAGTGAATATAACTAAAAACATACTCTTTTTGAGAAAACAAAGCAGAACAAAAATAGAAATGTTCTGTGAGTTTTACTTAAAAAGCCTTATTTCACCTTCATTAGGACAGGAAATATTTTTCACTAGGGAAAAAACTCAATTATACATACACAAGGGTTTAATATGACTTTAACAAATTTAATAGAAGTACACAAAAGTATAATGCTGCCAAAGTGCAGATTCACATAAATTTTAAAAGCTAACCTTAATGTTTTCAAAAGTCTTGTTCTATCTAATTGAATTCAAATGTAAATTATTTAATATGAAAAACTGTACAACCCAGGGAAAGGTAATTGCTCTTTAATAATTTTTGTCTTATAATATTTAATTACTTTAAAATTACTAGACATATCTCATAAAGTGTTCCATGGACCATCACTCTCTTTCACATACTCATTATTTTAGTTGTCTTTTTGGACCAACACTATCATTTTCCCTTTCTGCTTCTTGCCAAATAATTCAAGTAATGTAAACTCATGATATTATAACATTAAACAGCTTATCCTCTAGCTCTCCTGTACAGCTCCTACACCACGGGCCCAGCAGGCAATGCTGCATGGAATGATGCTGCAGAATTGATCTGATTTGCTTGACTTACAGAACTTTCACAATTCATTTTGAATAAAATAGTCTTCAACGTAAGTTTTTGAAAAGTAACATTTATTAGTGTCTATGCCAGTTCATACTGTGAACTGCTTTGTAAATATCTTTTGGGAAATCATAGCTTAAGGTCAATTAGTTTGCTATAGATTCGATTGCCTTTGATGGACTGAGTAAAATTTCATATTATTTGGTTCATGACATTTAAAACTATTTATGATTTTCTAAAAAACATTGCTCTTTTTCCTTCAAAACTTTTAAATAAATATGGCCATATTTATTTAACATATTTTTTATTCAAACTGTTCCTGGAATTCTGCATTGGGCAGATTCTTTAACCAAGGAGATCAACAGAGTTGGAGCTCTGGACCAGCAATCTCGGTTCTTGCGATAGTGAGAAAAGAATTGCAAACTAACACCAAAGTGCAAGCTCAAAGCAAAGTTTATTGAAGCACAGTAATAAACTCTCAGAAGGACTGCAGACTGATTCCTGTGAAGGGAAATCAGCCCTGCTTTACAAAACTCAGGGGGCTTTTATGGGGTTCTGGGGAAGGGAGTTAAGGTTTGGGCTGTGTCTGAATGACAAGATGATATCATTTGATTGGCAGTTTATGGTTATATAACTAAAACTGAGCATGTTCTTACCCATAATTCTTTAAGAAAAAACCCACAGGAGGATGGGCTGTGGGGGGAAAAAAACCACATGTAAATTCTATTATAATGATGGTATTATGAACTTGGGGTGACCTGGAGGCATGGTTTTGTGTTACTGCGCATGCGCCATTTTAGGGGCTTTCTACTTGCGTCCTAGATTCTCCACCTTCGGGATGTGCTGGCTACAGACTTTACCACAGACTTTATCCATTAGGGTGGAGTTAGGGCAGTTCTATCACTGAACTTAGGTGTGCCAGGGACTATGTTAGTGATAGCCTTTCTTCACTCTTCTTACCTCTCCCAGTTGCTAACATCTATTTAACTACCTAACACAACCTATGCCCCAAAGTTTAAAAATATGTATAGGTAAAAATATGAAATTATTACATATTTTAAAACTTCAAATTTTGCTTAGCTTACCTCCCATTTCTGTCTTAAAATATAATACAAAATTAATACAAATATATTCGCATTGGAAGTAGAAATTATTTTCTGGGGTTAACAGTTTGAAGGGAAATTCATAAATGAAACCCATTAACACACACAGAATTCTCAATTTGTCCTACATAATATAACAAGAATAATTTGAAATAGAAGACTGCGATTTTGAATTTTAATAAAATGAAGGCTAATTCATATAGTTCAAGTTACTCTAAGTTGTAACCGAACGACTGGGTCTATCTAATATATTTACAATCTTCTTGATTTTATTCTCTGTTGCTACATCACAGTACCAAAGTGATAGGAGCTTTCCAGGGTAAAAACTTTAGGCTTATTAATTTTCCTTATTGTGTGACTTCATTTATAGTGCTTTTCCTTCTTTTCTGTTATGATATAGCACACAGACACTGTCAACACTTGACTAAATTTAATAAAATTATTCATTAATTCAGTCTATTAAAATTATTATTACATATGATTTTACATTTTTTTTGCCATTTAGCCAAGATAAAATATATTGGTATAGTACTAAGCGTTGTGTTCTAGGTGTAATTTTTCTTATTTTAATCTTAGTTTGGGTGATTATATAGTATATTGCCCAAAAACCCACTGGAAATTGAAAAAGTCTAGGCCCAGCACAGTGGCTCAGGCCTGTAATCCCAGCATTTTGGGAAGCCAAGGTGGGCAGATCACCTGAGTTCAGGAGTTCGAGACCAGCCTGGCCAAAATGGTGAAACCCCATTTCTACTAAAAATCCAAAAATTAGCTGGGTGTGGTGGCATGCACCTGTAATCCCAGCGACTCAGGATGCTGAAGCAGGAGAATCACTTGAACCAGAGAGGCAGAGCTTGCAGTGAGCTGAGGTCATGCCATTGCACTCCAGTCTGGGTGACAGAGTGAGACTCTATCTAAATAAAAGAAAGAAAAAAAAGAAGAAAGAAGGAAGGAAGGAAGGAAGGAAGGAAGGAAGGAAGGAAGGAAGGAAGGAAGGAAGGAAGGAAGGAAGGGCGGGAGGGAGGGAGGGAGGGAGGGAGAAAGTCATGTATTTGTTCCAAAAGCTGGGATAGTAGGTATAAACCAGGGCTGTACTGGGAAAACCATGGTAAAAATTAATCCAACTTTTATTATGTTAACTACCTTCCCCTGAGTCAGGGGTCAGTAAATTTTTTCCGTAAATGACCAGATAATAAATGGTTTATGCTTGGTGGGCCATAAAATCTCTGTTGCAACTATTTAACTTTGCAATTCTAGGGTGAAATCAGCCATAGACAATATGGAAACAAATTAACTTGTTTGCGTTCCAGTAGAACTTTATTTACAAAAACAAGTAGTGGATTTTGCCTTCAACCTATGGTTTGCCAACACCTGTCCTAGACCTTGTACATTCCTGTCTACTCTAGTTTATTTTTAGCTTTTCCTTTACTTTCTTCTGCTTTTATTTATTCAGGTATATGCTGAAATCTGTCAAAGGTCTTTAGCCCCAATGTCTCTCCTATAACCAGGCTTGTATTTCTAACTGCATTTTTTTTCTCTTTTCTTTTGAGACAAAATCTGACTCTATTGTCCAGGTTGGAGTGCAGTCACGTGATTTCAGCTCACTGCAACCTCCACTTCTCAGGTCCAAGCAATCCTTCCACCTTAGCTTCCTGAGTAGCTGGGACTACAGGCACATACCACCATGCCCTGCTAATTTTTGTACTTTTTGTAGAGATGGGGTTTCTCTGTGTTGCCCAGGCTGGCCTTAAATTTGTGAGCTCCAGTGATCCTCTTGCCTTAGCCTCCCTAAGTGCTGGGATTGCAGGCATGAGCCACCGTGCCCAGCCACTAACAGTACTTTCAACATCTCTATTTTGGTATCTCATAGGAATCCAAAACCAACAACTTGATCATCCTTACCCGAATCTGCTCCTTCTAAACTGGGAATAAATGGAAACAGTATTTTTCCAGATGCGCAGGTTAAAAATACTAGAGCTATCTTTTTTCCCTCCTTTTTCTTCCATTCCACATACAATTGACCAGCAAACTCTAGCAGCTCTACTTTTACAGTATATCCCAAATCTAATAGTTTCTTTGCACCTCCTTGCTACCACTTGTTTGAAACACCATCTCCTTTCTGATTTGTTAGGATACCTTCCAATTACTCTCCCTGTTTCCAAACTCAGTATCCTAAAATTTATTCTCCACAGAGCTCCTAGGGTCAGCCTCTTAAAGGGAAAGTCAGAACCTGCCACTTCACTGCCTTTAAATGAGAGAACCGTTTTTCATTCAGACTCCAAAAACCTTACAATTACCTTTAGGGCTGTATAAGATTGTGGTTCTCCACCAGTCTCCTACACTCATTCTCTATCTCCAGCTCCAGCCACAACAGACCCCTGCTCTTTTCCATGAACATCCCAAATGACTCTCCATTCACGGCATTGCAATTTGCTGTTCCCCACAGAAAATTTTTTTCAATGTTTTGTCAAAGCTCATTCTCTCACATCCTTCAGTATTCTGCTCAAATGTCACCTATCAGAAAGACTCTTCCTGATCATTCTGTATTTAGTGCAAATTGTTTATTTTTATTTTTCTCCATAGCACTTTATTTTCCTCCATAGCATTATGTCATGGGGCATCATACGTATTCATTTGTTGGTTAATTTTCAGTTTTATGCTAATTGGAATGTGTTAATAACTTCCATGCATGGCAGACTTTTATTTTAAGTCATTCTCAACACTTAGAATATTGCTTGGCACTCGATAAATACACAATAAAAATGGATTGAATTAACGAATATGTGAATTTACAATTTTCCTTTTTAGTAGGGTATGTTGCTTTTCAGATTATTTACCTCTGTGTCAATTTTAGTATTTCTGCCCACCAACCTGAATTTACTATTGTCATCTTAGTTCATACATCTAACATCTGCTCTGTTAAACCTCTTCTTTTTTATTCCAATGCATTATTTTCTTTACATGACCTCACATGAATTCCAAACTATTCACCTTCCCATCGATGTTTTAATTCATTCAACATAAATCTATTACTCACTTAATATGTATGTCCCAGGCACTGAGCTATGATTTTGGATAATGTAAAAGGCATTTTCCCTTTTTTTAATGTAGACCTCACATTCTAGTGTGCAATAAAATTATAGCATACATATTTACCACAATGTAGTAAGTTTTATAAAACATGTAACATATACTAGGGCAGAACTAATTTTCACTGGGAAAATCTGGAAATACTGTCCAGAAGAGTAATAATGATTGTTTGGAACTAATTAAAAAGTTTATGCAAGAAGTGATAAGCCTAGAACGAATGCAGTAGCAGCAGAAAGTGAAAAGAGGTATTGATTATATAGCAGGAAACGTAAAGAAAGTAGTGAAATACAGGTTTCTGCCTTGAGGATGATGGGTTGCAAAATGAATAAAAAGTTCATCTTTCATGAATTGTAATTTGGACAGAACTAATAATGAGTTCAGAATCAGATATTTTACTTTGAGAAATGGCCAAAAATCAAATGAGAAATATCCAGCAGGAAGTTGGATTTCTATTAATATATTTGATAATATCTGTTACATATCCTATTGTCATTAACACTGGATAGAGTGGGATGGGTGGCCTTTTAATGGTTCTTTTTCTTTACACTTTTCAACATTGTTCTCAAAATTGTCCATGTAGACTAATTCATGTCGTAATGAGAAAAACATAAGCATAGGTTTTTTCTAATAGAAGGAAAACAGCAGAAGTCAAGACAGTAAATGAGGAACTAATCTTTGAGAAAGTTCAGTTAACCAAAGGAGAAGAAATAAAGCTGTAGATGCAAATTGGAGGTGAGTGACTCTTGAGCTTATTCTTATTTGTTTAACTATTGTAACATCTTTTACAATTTTTATTTAATGTATTGACAGTACATGGAATTTCAAGATGTTTCAATGAATTATGCTACTTGTAAAGCTACATATCTATATATAATCTTGATAACTTTGACCATTTTTAAATTAGATGCACACACCATTTAGAACTATGCATTTTCATATTTTCTAAAATAAAATTAATAACTTTATAAAGTACCATATGTAGTTTTACATGTCACAATATTTATCCTTTTTAAATGAATTACTGCTTTTGTGCTACATATGTATATGCATGATATAGAGTAGTTTCTTCTTCTAAGATATCATTTCTATTTTCCTAGATAACATCATTAAATTCATTATCCACCTCAATTCCCTGGGTTAATTTCCTAGAAAATATTTAAACACAGGACACTTAACTCACCTGATAATTTTAAGACTCATTATAGTTTGTGTATAATAGCAGTATGCTAAAATAAATGTAAGTCAAGTTTAGACATATATAGTGAAATCAAGACACATGTAGAAGGAGGGAAAATGACTATTAAATATTTTTAAACAGAATAACTGTAGCTATGCACAGGAAAAGTTTTGCTACAGTAAAAAAAATCAATGATATATGTTTCACTTGTATTATTTCCATAAACTAATGATTGATTATCTTACCAAAATGACCAGGGCACAGTAATATTGCCAATAACAGATCAAATAATGCATTACATTTTGAGGAAAAATATTGTTTGTTTTAAAAATAATAGAGAATGAGTCATAAGAGTGACTTCATCTTATAAAAATTAATCTTATTTTATAAGAATTAGGGTAAGAATAAATGGATTTTAATACATTTCTTCTCATTGATGAAGCTTAAGGACACTGCATAAAAAAATAAAAATCATACATAGATAAAAAAGAAAAACAAAGACCAGAATACCTAAATCTAATAAACAGTGATTTAAAAAAAAAAATAAATCTTCAAGTAAAAGTTCAAGATGGTCAGGGATGACATTTAAAATAAGTAAAATTTCCATAAAAATGAATCAATTAGCTCTCTAGACATTCACTTAAGCCTTGTGCTTCAATCACATCTCCACTGATTATATATGTGACAAGTCGCCCAGTGATGTTTTGGATTGAGTGGCTATTTATTATGATTATTACTGTATAGCCGTGTTCTTCAGAGTGTGAATTCTGACCATTTCTCTGACAGTTCTGCTCGGTTTCATTCTGTGATTATTTATTTATTTATTGCCACCACCTTACTGCAGGTAACCATCACATAATATATTGTCACAGGTAGCTTTTTTTTGACAGGTTACAGTACTCCTTTTGATTATAAATGAAGCCCCAAGGTAGAATGTTTACAAAGAAAGGAATCTTATATTGACAAACTCTTTGGCAGGACAGTTCTAGTCACCATGCCATATGACTTTTGAAGTAGGCAAGCAAGGAAAGAGAGACAAATAAATAACAGGGATGCCTGGAAAATGTTCCAATTATTTTACATTTCAGTTGATGTAATATAAGCTTTTAGATGAAGCTTTCATCGCTTACACCAATTTACTTTAAATTCTTAACTCTACCTATTCTGAGCCACCCTTGACAGCCATGTGATAGGGATGCTTGTGACTTGAAAGGCATGGTACATTTTTAGGAATGTGCTACTTCCTCTTCCATCTACTCAAATTTCTGGAAGAAGCTCTCTATTAACCAGTACAATAAACCGATAGCAAAACCTCAACCAAAAAGTGTGTGGTCATTGTGAATCAAAAAGAAGTTTAGTCTGAAGTTAACACCAGAGATGTGACAGATAGTAGCTTTGTGTAAATTGCAGGAACATAAAGTCACAGAATGGCAAGTTAAGTCTTAGAGCCTGGGATTCAAACACATGAGTGGAAATCCAGTTGCAGAGAATGAGAAACTGTAGTTTTAGCACTTTGAAACTTGTTTGAACCTCAATTTCCTTACGAGAGGTGAAGCCAGCGGAGCTTCTGGGTTGGGTGGGGACTTGTAGAACTTTTGTGTCTAGCTAAAGGATTATAAAGGCACCAATCAGCACTCTGTGTCTAGCTAAAGGATTGTAAATGCACCAATCAGCACTCTGTAAAAACGCACCAATCAGCACGCTATAAAATGGACCAATCAGCATTCTGTAAAATGGGCCAATCAGCAGGATGTGGGTGTGGCCAAATAAGGGAATAAAAGCTGGCTACCACAGCAGCAGCAACCAATTCTGGTCCGTTTCTATGGTGGGGAAGCTTTGTTCTTTTGCTCTTCATAATAAATCTTGCTACTGCTCACTGTTTGGGTTTGCACTACCTTTATGAGCTGTAACACTTACCGCGAGGGTCTGCAGCTTCATTCCTGACATCAGCGAGACCACGAACCTACCGGGAGGAACAAACAACTCTGGACGCACTGCCTTTAAGAACTGTCACACACTCACTGCAAAGGTCTGCGGCTTCATTGTTGAAGTCAGCGAGACCACGAACTCACCATAAGGGAGAAACTCCGGACACATCTGAACATCTGAAGGAACAAACTCTGAACACACCATCTTTAAGAACTGTGACACTCACCTCAAGGGTCTGCGGTTTCATTCTTGGAGTCAGCGAGACCAAGAACCCACCAGAAGAAATAAATTCCGGGCACACTTATATGAAAGATACAGATAACAATACTTCATAGTTAAAAATAAAACCTGTAAAATGCTGGGTTTTATTGTAGGAATAAATATTTGTTTTCTCTGCCAGAATTCTCTCAAAGAATTCTAGTGTGCCCCAAGGTCATCCTTATGCCGCATATCTAGATATGATAGCTTTTGGTAGCAGAGATGTCTGTGAGATTGAGGCAATATAATATATGAAGAGTAATTTTTAACTCTACTGTTTATCAACTCCATTTGGTTTCCTCACATGTCCAATAGAGATACTAGTACCAGTTTACCAGTTCATGGATTGAAAGCATGTAACACACGTCGTACAGCACCTGGCTTATTAAGTGCTAATACATGTTTCTTTTTATTACTGTTATTTGTTGGAAACTTTGTTCATGCAATTTAATCGCATTATAAAAGGCAGTGATTCTCACCTCGTGGATCATTACATTACCTCTCGAAAATCTGTGAGTAAGAAGAACGGCAAGATGTAAATTTTTAAATCTTAATGACTGCTATAATATAAACCAGGCTCTTTAATGTTACTATAGAATGAAGATTGCTATAGCTCTATTCTTCTGATTCAAACTGCAAAACATAACCGCCTTCCTTGGGAGTGTGCTTTTCTAACTATCCAGTTTATGTAGGGTTGTAGAGTTTCTGAAAAGCCTACTTGTGCACAGGTATTAGAAGAGGTTTAATTCTACTCCTCTTGCCCTGTTCTTTGTTAATAATCCTCCCTACTAATTTTCATACTCTAAATCTAACATGTAACATACAAAGTAAAAACTAAGGTATAATTTTATGCAAACCATCATCAAACACAGTCCTTTGTGGTCTATACACCCAAGCAAAATATCTGTCACTTAGCTACAATTCTCCAAATATCATAAAAAGGAAGATAGCCATTTGTGGGATTTTATGTATTCTGCAAGAAGGATATATGAAAAGGATTGATTCTTACTGTTTATTGTCTGCCCAGTGATTGCAACAAGAGCCTGTTACACATAAACAGTGCCTTATTTTTTTTTTCTCCCCTAGCTAGTATTTTGATTGTGTTAGCCTTGTGTTAAAAAAGAAAAACTGATATTGGGCTGGGCGTGGTGGCTCACACCTGTAATCCCAGCACTTTGAGAGGCCGAGGCGAGGGATCACCTGAGGTAGGGGTTCGAGACCAGCCTGGCCAACATGGTGAAAATACAAAAAATTAGCCAGATGTGGTGGCGGGCACCTGTAATCCCGGCTACTTGGGAGGCTGAAGCAGGAGAATCACTTGAACCGAGGAAGCAGAGGGTTGCAGTGAGCTGAGATCGTGCCATTGCACTCCAACCTGGGTGACAAGAGCAAAACTCTATCTCAAAAAAAAAAAAAAATGAAGAGCTTAAATTATACCCTCATTTTAGAGATGAAAAAAGTATGAGGAGAATGAGATGGGTTCACTGACTTACACGTGACCACATGGCTATTAAGGGTAGATTAGGGACTAGAAGTCTTGCCCTCTACTAATCTAGTGATCTTTCAATCAAAAGCACTCTTTCACCCAGCATCTTGCTTTACGAAATGAACTTTTCATTTCTATGTATGTGAACAATTCACATATTCTATTTCGAAATCTTTAATATTTGTTATAATTGCCATAATTAGCATCATGTAAATTGAATTGAAAAACATAAATGCTTTAGATATAAAGTAGTAATTTTAAACATGGGACTAAGTACAAAAGACTTCAAGGCACCAAGCTTAAGACTCCTTATGTACATAAAAACAATCACATACAATTAATGCTGGATTGTTCCCACAATTTTTTGATCAAGTAATTATGAATTAAAACTCTCAGTTTTCTAAAAACAATCACAAAGACAATTCTGTTAAGATGAAGACATTATAATGAAAAACAATCTATAATTGTATGTGTAGATATATTTGTTGAATTTATGACCTTCATAGTCTAAAATTTAGGAAAGTAATGTTTTTGAATTGATCAGCACAGCTAATTAACTAAATTCACATACTTAAAATTTGAAATTCTAGCAAAGATGTATATAAAAAACAATTAGACAATGTCCAGCTGAATTTTAGAATTATCCAAAGTATTGCTAAGAATTTGTAGATGGGCCCTCATTTTAAACAATACCTGGAAATATTCCATTATCATTTATGCCCAAAAGCAAGCAGGAATCCTTTAATCCAGTTACACAGAAAATATGAAATCATAGGTAGGGCTTTTGATTTTTTGCTTTTGTGGGTTTGTTCATCTGTAAGTTAAAGGTTGTTTCCATTAAGTGTAAATTTAATCAATATAACCAATATTTGCAACAAGGGCATTTCAGAATGCAAAGAGCACCTTTCTTGATTAACTGATCTTGAAGAATGCTTTACCCTTAGTCCTCCACGTGCCTACCCTTAGGAAAGCATGCTCTCTGCAAAGGTTGTATCTTTAAATCATATTTGCACACAACGTAAATGAATGACCTGATCCCATTTATGTGAATTCCCCTCAGAAATCTCAGGGCTTGTCAAAAAGAAACATAACATTGGCAAAGGCACCTTTGTTTTCTCCAGATTTTTTTTTCTTGAGCAGATTGTTATGCTTGGCCAAAATAAAACCAAACATACGGCATTGAGAAATATATGAAAAGACAGTGCACTCTGAAATGCCTCATGATCTCTTTTCCCTCTGCTTGCCTGTTGCCACTTTTTGCTGCCCTAGGAGTAGGCCTGTGTCTTGTAAATATGAAATGCTTTTACAGAGACAGAGAATTTCATATCGAAGACTAATAGATTTCACACTTTCTAGTCCTTTTCCAAAGGGTCCGCTGTCCCTGGAGACTCCCAACCTGATGATGTCATAGTCCTCTTCCAGGAGCTGTTTTTAGTTCCACTTTGGCTGATATCATGAAGTGTCAAATGCACCAAGCCTGCTGGGGTGAGAAATATTTTAGTCTCAACAGATTTGTGCGGCATTGGCATTTCCTCCTCATTATTGTTATACCATTAGGTTTTTATTAATGAGGCCTGCAGTGGCCCCAGGTTTATTATGCAGGATTAGAAATATAAAACTTGTTTTCTGGAGATATTTGGTGTCCTAACATTCAGATTTTCCAGCCCTCAAGAATGTTATAATAAAATTACTCAAGTCCTATAAAAATGAGGCCAAATAATCACATTTATTCTGTCTTATTGTTAGCGTATTCCAACCGACATTTTTCTAACAGGTCTATTTTGGTTTGACCCAAAGCGTTGGAACCCACTGTGAAAATTGGCAGGCCATAAGAGACCAAATGTCTGTTCAGTGTTCTGGGATCTTCCAGCCTTGGCCATTGATGCTCTGGAATAAAGAGAGAAGTAAATGTTCTGCTGGGTTTTCTTACTGAGTGCCACTCAGCAAGCCCTGAACCGTCCACCCTTAAACTATTTTAACTGAACTGGCTCTGTGTTTATTACAAGAGATGTGGTGGAAAAATAGTCTCTCTGGGACAAATATTTTGTTCATGATTTATGGAACTGGTTGATAAGTCACTGTTTATGTTTAGGAGTACTTACTTCACATGCGAATCCTCAATGAAGATCTATGAACAGTTGTTTCTACTTCGCTCTTTAGACAAAACATGTAAGGAAAACCCTCAATTTTATTTAATTCTTCAATCCAATGGTCCATTTTAAGATGGGAATTGTCTGTAGGTTATCAGTGAATTATTATCTATCAGCCACATTTCATCACATTTCAAGTGATAATATAAAGCTAAAATTTGAAACAATGGCTATAATTTTCTAGTATTTTCTTAAGGACTTTGATAAGTCAAAACAAGGAGTTCCTTCAATGCTTTAGTTTTTATCTGTAAAGACAGATCCTTAATATGCAGTATATAAAGATTCACACACACTGCATGTAGAGAGATGAATCACAGGTGTGAATATTGTTTTGACTATCTTCCCATTGGGCACTGAGACAGACAGCAAGGGGTATTAGGAGCTACTCTGTAAACCAAGAGACTTGGCTGCTTCTCCTCCATTGTGTTTTGTTGTTGTTGTTGTTCTGGGTTTACTGAAAATATTACAGCATAGCAGAAAGATTCAACCGGCTCCAACTGGTGTTTTGAAATTCATCCCAACTGTAGGCTGAGTGACCTGCAGTTTGGACAGACTCCCGAAGTCCAAAGACTTCAACATTTTTTTTTTTGCATGAAAATCTACTTCAATGATCTCTCCTTCTGCACCTTGACGGAGATAGCTGTCACTAGGTCTCTCTGAACCTGCTTCATCCAATGCAAGACGTAACATGCTATCTTCTTGTGGAGCTTCCTGCTAGGATCTCCTTCCACGCTTTCTTGTTCCTGTTGAAGTCATTCCCTCGGTGCTTGTACTACTTCTCAGTGATGACTTGGGCCACCTTCATGGTTTTGGTGTAAATGCAGCCCCTGTTAGTGGGTCCTAAGTAGAGAGGAGTTTATTGTAAATCTAGACTAAGTGCCAAGGCATTTAACTTCTCTGTCTTTAGTTTCCTCAGCTGTACTGTTTAAACAATACTATAAAAGAGCTTGAACTTTCCTCTGGAGGTTACAATGTTATTTGAATTTGTTTCTTTAAAAACTGGGAGGAAATGTTCAGACCCTGGTAGGAGCAGATCCTGAGAGTCTGTTGCTTGCCTAAAGCAGGCTGTAAGCTAAAAAATGTATATGTCTAAAGGATAGAAATATCATTTAATATCTCTAAATATTTTCCTTGGAATAAACAAGTCTCTGGATGTTAGTGTACTGTATAACACCATCTCAATTCATAATTACTAATTTTGAGATTCTGTAACATAATCTTTTATTATATGCTAATTAGTATACATAAATATAGAAGATAGGATCAAAGCAGTCAGTGGAGAATCTGCAATATTTATAAACCTGGTTGTCCAAGGGCAGAAATAAGATTTGAACTGCTGCAGAGGTATCCCAAAAGAAAACAAAACAATGTTGAATCCTTGAAGTTGAATGTTGATTTGTTCAACCTTATGGCAATCTAATACCTTATGAATATTCTTCTAATCTTTAAGGCGATAAATAGCAAGCTTCATAAATTCTGCCTGGACCAAGGAGAAACAGAAACTCTAGCCACACTACAAGCATATGATTTGGGAGGGAATGAATGAGGAAGCAGGTTCTGTATTAGGTATCTATTTCACAGCAGAAACATCTGACTTTTGAGTTCAGCAACGGTCACAAGGTCCACCTCCTAGTACACAGAGAGCACTGGTGCTGATGTCAGTGGCAGTGTAAGTCAAGTTCAAGGCTCCAAACAAAAGCATCTAGTGGCGGGTGACAGCAAGCAAATTTGTGCTGTTCTCCTTGCTGCAACTTTGGCAGTGGTTTTGGACTTTGGTCTGTACTTACCCTGGTGCCCTGTTTCCTCTGTATTCTTAACTGTTATGAAAACTGTGTGATATCCTTTGAATAAATTTCTTTTCTGTTGAATCAGCCAGAATCATCTACAACCAACCTATATTTATACAACTGAGTACAGGCAATTTGATTATTTTTCCCCAACATAAGCTTCATGGAAACAAAAGCTTCTCTGGATCAGAGTGCCTCAATTCAAATCCTGGTGCTGATAATCAATAGAGGTATGATTTCGGAGTGTCTTAATCTGTGCTTCAATTTTTTCATATGAAAAGTGAAATAATAAATATTAATATGATTATATCAGGTAATACTGGTACAGTGTTTAGCATAGTGCTTAGGATACACAAAGCACTCAATATTAGTTGGCTGATACAATAAAATAGTAACAATAACAATATATTATGTCAGTCACTAATGAAGATCCATATCTACATGTTTCAATATTCTGGTTTTCACAAAAGTAGCTCTTATTAAGAATATATTTAAATCAAACTGCATAGGACTATTTTGTCTTTATTTCTTCACAATTTTTAAAGTTATTTATAAGACTCTCATTTCTTCCGACAACTCTACCACATATGAAATGTCTTTCTCTTTGGATTTATCTAATTTCTGTATTAAAATAGAACACTAAAAACTTGTGACAGGCCGGGCTTGGTGGTTCACACCTGTAATCCCAGCACTTTGGGAGGCCAAGGCGGGTGAATCATGAGGTCAAGAAATTGAGACCATCCTGGCCACCGTGGTGAAACCCCGTCTCTACTAAAAATACAAAAATTAGCTGGGCATGGTGGTGCACGCCTATAGTCCCAGCTACTCGGATGGCTGAGGCAGGAGAATCGCTTGAACCCGGGAGGTGGAGGTTGCAGTAAGCCAAGATCACGCCACTGCACTTCAGTCTGGCAACAGAGCAAGACTCCGTCTCAAAAACAAAAAACAAAACAAACAAACAAAAAATTGTGACAAAGCCTGGCAATATTTGTGGCCCAGCAAGATTTTTTTAAAAATCAGAAAACCCTTGAATAAAACACACGTATAAATTTGCAGTCAAATTATTTACACATTGAAGTGAAATATCAAATGTTATCACATCAATGAATCTGAAAGCTTTGATATTTGTCTATTGATTTTGAAGAAAAACAAAAAATAAACAGCAACCAAAACACGTGTACATTTACATGCATACACAATACTCAATTTCATTTGCCTCATTATGTAAACTTAAAAATATTTATACAGCTTTTATATTACATTTAATTTTAACTATATTAGAATTAAGAATCAAATGTAAAGCATTGTTTGTTTATTGTGAAATCTAAGTATTTAGTTCTCCACTTAAATATAGACTCTCAGTGGAGATATTAAGTAGACTTTTAAAATATGTGGCTTTATTCAATAATAATTTTTTATACTTGAAATCTACTTATTAAATCTGAAAAATGAAATTGGCATTTAACCTTTATTCTAAATACATTCATATAACTTGTCACCACCAAAATGTTTGATGCTTGATATAAACAGATACTGCTCTTAAAATCACCTTATTTAAAGTAACTCAGTTAAGAAATGTTAAAAAACCTCTTTTCTCTTTTTAGAATTGTATGTGGAGCACAAGACATTTAAATATGTAAATGTCAGTGAGTGATTAATATATTCCCTAAACTATTGTAACTAGAGCATTTTATGCTATAATTAAAAGACTTGCTTAACTACTATAACTCAAGTAATGAAATTCTAAGGCAATGGGAATTATAACGTAGAAAATCAGTCTTATTTTGATAGAAAGAACAAAAAATAGAGTCTCCAGCTTATTGCTCACGGCAAAAACATAAGAGTGTGAGCATTCAAGGGCACCTAGAAACTGACAGAATATTTCCCTTAAGTATTATTACCTTCTAGGTCACCTGCCTTTTGCTTTCTCTGCACTTTACGTTTTAGGTCATTTAGGTTTGTGATTGAATAATACTTTATAATTCTTAAGGAGTTCTCCTCATGTTAAGTTTCCTTTGTGCGAATATATTATATCCACTCTAATAAATGTGAATTATTTTGAAATTAAAGTAGGAAAATATTGATAAATGGTATAGCCTGCTCCTTTTCTAAATAGACAAATCCTTGACTTTATAGACTAATAAAATCCATTTAACTATTTAAGTTTTATATTACAGTTTCTTACTCTATTTTTTAAAATTTTCTGACTATACATTCATTCTCTATTTTGCCTTATACCTATTTATAACTGAATCAATTTCTACCATCAACTCAAACCTTGAGCCCTTCACTAGAAAAATCTCTATATATGTATCATTCTATACTTAATGCAGTTACTGCCACATGGAAGGCACAAAATAAAATTGGCAGAAGTGAATAAAGGAATGATTAGATGTTCATATACTTGTATTAAATAACCCAAAAGTTTATTTGTGGGCAAAAATCTCAACATGATCTACTAAACTAGAAAATTCATATTATGTTTTGATGCTTTCATAAACATGAAATAATTCATATTCCAATTTTGTATTCTTTATATTTTATCTAGGAAATCTTTCATTTCCATTTAAAACAATATGAAAATTATGTGTTTTGATCTTTGTAATGTGAAAATGGGACCTTTTTACTATTGAAGAAAAAGTTTTAATGATATATGAGCTGGATTACATTTTAAAATTAATCCTGTGTAGCAGTATTTGCAGAAGATCCATACACTCCGTCAAATTGCCATTTTATGGGTATAGTTAAGCAATCTTTTTCTGAGAAAAAATATCACTTTAATCAATATTTATAGTCCATAAAGGTCTTTCAGAATTGGAAAAATATAAATACATTAAGTAAGCCTTTTTGTACTTATATACACACAGAAGCACATATAAAATTCTTTATTAAACTGAATAAAACACCCCCTTTTGTCAATATATGCATGGGCAGTGAAAGCAAACTTATAAAGAGATTAATCCATTCCTAAGCAATAAAATCAGTAGTGCCAGTTATACTTTTTCATCAAACCAGCTTGGAAAATTCCAAGACTATCATTGCTTGTTTTTTGCATGTGAAGCTGTTTTGTTTGAAGGAAGTATGGCAATTCACAATTGTTAGGTTAAAAGTAAAAGATTCTTACTGGAAAACATAAAGGCTCAGACTGATAGTAACCATCAAATATGAGGTTCTTCGTATTATCTGTAACCATCAATTTTTTTTTCTAATTTCTCCTCCTATTTCTTTTTTCATTCTATACGTCTTCTTTATGAATCATGATTGTAAGAAGAAAAGTCAACTATAGCTAGATGAGGCAGTAAAGGGTTTTTATGAGAATAATGTTAAGAATTTGAGAATTAATGACCAACTATACGATCAGACTTTGAAAAGAGGTAAAAAATTAAAAGTAGGTCAGGAAATAAGTATTTAACAGTCTGGTTAGGACTCTGCCCCTACCACGGTAGAAATCTCACACTACGGTCCTGGTGCTGCTCTCACTGAACACAACAAATTTCTTATAAATGAGCCCTAACCCTTCTTCTTTGTGCCTCTAACTCCAGATTAAAGTTTTGTGTGGGAGCAACTGATTGGCTGAGCCCAAGTCACATTCCCAAAACTTAGGTCATCAGTGGGCAGAGAACTAAAAGTTAGTCCAAGTTATACTACCATGGTGAGAAGCAGAACACTGCATCTCATATTAATACACAAAATTGGACAGTCCTCCAAAATGAGAGAAAGCTGACCCCAGAACAGCCCAAATAAGCAAAGTGAAATGTTCATGCCATTCTTTCATATTGTGTCGTCACTGCTTAAGGTTTTGTGATTTTGTGATATATTAAGAAGTATATATATTTGGTCTTTGTCTCCATTATCTGACACAAAATACCTAAAATCCTTGGACTCTCCAAAATAATAAGTGTTTTATTGTATGCTAATGAGATGACTAGTAGCTGAGGGTTCCAGGATAGCCTCAGGATGGTGACTGGTTGCCAGGAGAACCAATCTTGTGATTAAAGGGTTGGAAATTTTAGCCCCAACCCCTGACCTTCTGGGAGGGAAGAGAGACTATGGGAACCTATTCACCAAAGGTCAATGGTTTTAATCAATATTGTCTAAGAATTAAGGCTCTGTAAATACCCAAAAGCACAGGGTTCAGAGAATTTAGAGAGCTTCCGGGTTGGCAAACCTGTGGAGGTGCTGGGAGAAGGCATGGAAGCTCCACACCTCTCCTGGACACCTTGCCGTATGATTTTCTTCCATCCGACTATTCCTGAGTTGTATCCTTTTGTAATAAACTGATAAGCTAGCAAGTAAGCTTTTATCCTGATTTCTGTGAGTTGTTTTATGAAATTATTCAACCCAAGGAGGAGGTCATGGAAACGCTTGATTTAGAGATAGTTGGTCAGAAGCACAGATGACACCCTGAAATTTCAGTTGGCATCTGAATTGTGTATGGGGGGGTTGGCAGTCTTGGGGGTCTGAGCCCCTAACCTATGGGATCTGTGTTAACTCTGAGCACCCAATGTCATAATTGGTTGGTTGGAAAACCCACATATTTGGTGTCAAAATGTTGACAGTACATAGAAGAGTTTTTGTTTGTTTGCTTTTCATTTTAGATTTAACTTACCACTGAATGATTGCTCAATCTGTATCTTCATCTAAAAACCCATTCCTGGGCTTCATACACTTATATACAAATACTGATGAATATTTAAACTTATATATTTCACACATGCCTCAAAAACTAAATACAATGCATACATATTGTTATTCACCCATTCCTCTCTGAAAAAACATCTGTCCCTCAATTCTTTTCTCAACAAAAAGTACAATCATTCTCCTAATTGCCCAAATCAGGGAGCCGTTGAAATTACTGTACCTTTTCTTATCTTCCCACTACCTACAACAAATCATTTACCAAAATTGGTCATTCTATGTCTCACCGCCTCTCAATCAACAGCCTACCACCTTCTTCCTTCAGGGTTCAATATTTGCCAGATTATGGCAAACATCTCTTTTCTCTGTCTATACTATTGCTCCTCTCCCATACTTTTCTTCCATGCAGTCAATGTGATTTCTCTAAAACTAAAATCAAACTATGTGAAATAACTTCTTCAAGAAAATCAAAAACTTTGTGTGATCGCCAGTATGGTTTAAAAGTTCCTTATCATGGTTACAACCTGTAATGAGTTTGACACATATTTTGTTCTTTGGTCTCATCTCTCAGTATTTTCTTAGCATCATATAAACCAAGTTTATTAAATTACATTATATTCATATTTTAATAGAAAACATAAAATATTTAGGAATAATTAATGACTATATTAAATATACTCATTAATTGTAAGAAACATGCTATTTTTCAGAAATAAAGTGTAAGAAAAGTATGTGTCTTGTGGCTGACAGCTAGAATTCCATGAATACTTATATTTCCTGTCATTTCCATGCCTTGGCAGAAGCTACTCTCTCATCCTAGAAGGTACACTTCACCTCTGCTGTACCCTTCACTAACAAACATTTAGTTATCTTTCAACACTCTACTTAAAAGCTATGTTTTGGCAAAGTTTACTGACCTACTATTCAGCACCTTCCTCAATACCTTAGGATGCTCTTAGCAGCAATATTCTGACTTCGTACCTGCCCTTGTCTCTACCCACATAGTTAAGTAGTGTGGTAGGCTGAATAATGGCCCCCAAGGTTAATGTTCTAATCTTCAGAATCTATAAGTTTTGCCTTTCATGGTAAAGGGGACATTGCAGCTGTGCTTAAATTAAGGCTCTTGGGTTTTGGAGATCATCCTGGTTATCTAGGTAGGCCCAATGTAGTCACAAGAGTCCATATGAGCAGAAGGCAAGAGGGTCAGGGTAAGTAATAAGAGACGTGAAGTGAAAGAAAGACTGGAGGAATAAGAGGAAGAGGCTATTGACTAACGAATGCAGACAGCTACTGAATATTGGAAAAGACAAGAAAACAGATTCTCTCAAGGCCTCTAGAAAGAACCAGCCCCACAAAATTGTTAACTTTAGCCGGGTGAGAATGAATTTGGACTTCCATCCCTCCAGAATTGCAAGCAATAAATTTGTGTTGTCTTAAGCCACTATTCTTGTGGTAATTTGTTACAGCAGCCAAACAAAAACAGAAACAAAAATGGATAAAACACTAAAACTAATTCTAATACACGTGCTTTCGAAATTATGTATTATATTTATCTCTGTCATCATTAGGTGCCTTAATGACAGAGATCATGTATTTATCTCTGTATCCCTGCACTTAACAAGACAGCCAGCATACAGCTGGGAATAAAATTTGTTTGAAAGAATGAGTGAGTGAGTGAATGAATAATGCTCAGATATTTAAATGAATGCATTAATAAGCAGAAATCCATAGATATATTTTCTGCTTTCTAAGAGACTTTGGACTTTCTAAATAATTCCAACAAGGGCCAGTGATTGTACATCGACTTTACATATTTGATTTATAGTGAAAATATGCTGAACCACTTGGGTTTCCTGAAGTTGCTAATGCTTGAAATTCAAGATATGAATTAGGACTATAATCATAGAGTCCAGAATGTTCCTACTTTGATATGTCACCAATTGTGTTCTCTGGAAATAGAAGCAAAGTATGGGGTACAGGATGTTTATTAGGACTCACTACATGTGAAGAGAGATGTCAGAAATCAGTATCAGGCTAAGGAAGAGTCAAACAAAAATGCAGATTTGACAAAACATCAGAAAAGCTAGCAACGAGTTATGGAGTATTGCCTGCGGAAGTGACCCTCTTAAGGTCAAAATGGCAAAGGCCTTTGTTCTCTGTCTCATTCATTCACCAGATGGAGCTGCCCTGACACATGTGTGACCTCTAATAGGTTGTCTGTGGTTGAGGCAGACCCTGCAGGAGTTTCAAGCTGGTTTGTAAGTCCCTCCTTGAAGGACTGAGCAGCCCATCTTTGTATCGACAATTAAACCCATGTACTGAAAGTTTCCTTCGTCCCACGTTGTTAAGAACAGCTAGAATTCCAGATACATCATCATCTTTCTTTTTCACCACAAATAAATGCTTTGTTTAAACTGAAATATATAAATGCTTTATTTGTTTGGAAATATATTTAACTCATCATTTTATTTAAAAATAGAAAATTGGGTGAACTATCAAGAACTGGTGGATAGGTTGGTGTACTTACCAGAATTACTGGAAGTTATGACATTTGACTAAGCCTGTAGAATTAAAGAAAGATCTGTCTCTGATAGAACGAAAGGAAGATATGTCCTTAGACACATGGTAATATAACATGTTATAAAGCAAGCAAAGACTTGTCATTTCCCATACTTCCTACTTCAAAAGTAAACACATGCTACAGACTTCGTGTAATTTTTCATAATACAAATAAACATGGATACATGTAATGATATAATCATCAAACTATGCTCAGTAAATAAAAGCCTAGAATTTTCAATTAATTTAGTAAGGGAAAAAAATGAAATAAACATTATTAAGTGAAAAGGAGAATAAAACAAAGTCATTTTGATATGTGATTATGATAAAATATAAACAAATTTATATTAAGTAACTCATCATAAACAAATAAAGGAGATGATGATTTTCCAAATAGTTGTTAAAATTTAAAAGTTTCAAATTACAAGAACATAAAGACCTGGTTGCAAGTCTACTGAGGTAATAGTTGTTTAGATTGAGGGACTGAATACAGAAGTTTTAAAAAGTCAAAATAGAAAAAAAAAAGGGGCCAAGAAAGCATAGTTTAGATAGATTTTGGAAACATATTACTGCTATCAATTAAGCTATTACTTTAAAAGTGGCTATAATTATGTATATTTAAAGCCTGTTAATTGTCGGTATAGTATACAAGATTTAGCAATAAAATATTTTCAAAGGGGCTATGAAAAACAGGAAAGATCTCATTGTTAAGCAGCAGTCATTTTCAGCTCAGTGTTTCACATAGTTTCTGTTACCTAGTAGCCATTAGTTATTAGTTATTTGGTGAGTTTATTCTACCACCATCCCCAACACACTCTTCAGCTTAAATTATAATAATTTGGATACTGAAGAATCTTTGTAGTAGTGCCTATGTATAACAGATTGATTTTTTGGCTCCAAATGTTCACTCATACCCCTATGTAGTTTATTTGAAACGCTATCTTGACCCAGTTTTGTGGTTTTGACTAGAGGCTGGTCAGTTCCCCCTTTCGAACAGCTAAGTATTTGCCTTACTGTATTTTCACACTTGAGACCAGTAAGCACCTGCCTAAATCACTCTAGGGCCAGCTATCAGACAATTAGTGACAGCCTTTATGTCCCTGAGCCAATGAAATTATGCAAATTGGCCAATCCTACTCATTCTTGTGCTAGTCTCCATTAGAGAGGAACATGCTGGCCACATACTGGTATCTCCTGGAAATAGAGGCTTTTACAGACCTTAAGTCTGTGACTCTTCATATCAAGCTGCCAATTATGTTTTGAGTCACAGAAGCAGAACCAGACAAGTTGGGCACAGCTACAAAGGACTTCTCGATGTAGAATGGAGTAAATCTCAGCCCTCTGGCATATTCCACTTGCAAGAGGGGATGGCCTCCAATGTCCTCAGTCGCTTGCCAGATGCCATGGTGTTGGAGAAGTTTACCCCTCTTCCAAGCCCTTTAGATATCTGAGAGCCACTTATGATTAACTGAGTGAACAGCAGTGGGAGTTTGTAGAGTGTACAATAGCATTGTCACTGTCATACATGATGGAGCACAGGGAAATATTGCTGCTTTCCATTTTTTACCCAGAATGTTCCAGATAAAGAATGAAACCCAAGGGTCATGTCGCTTGCCCAAACTAGGTAGTCATCTTAACACTAGATATCATAGTCAGCAAATGGCTCCATCTCCACATTTTTGCAAACTTTTGAAACATTGCCTGAGAGTTGTCCCCTTCAGAGTAAAGAACTTTGAGAATCTCTTGCTTCACAAGTATCCAAAATATATATCAAGGTTACACATGTTGCTATTTATACTAAGGCCACAATACAGAGTCTTCCTGGGATACTTCTTATTCCCTTTGACGTGTCAGACATTACTGACAGTGACTAAGCCACACATTTCACATTTCAGAATACACAATAGTGGGCTCTTACAAAAGGCATTCAATGGAACTTTTCTCTCTGGGATAGGTCCCAGACAGCTAATTTAATTGGGAGACCTAAATGGGCCTATCAAAGAACTCCTATATAAGTTACAAAATGACAAATGAATTCCTAAATGCATCTGTATCTTGCCCCATAATTTAATTTTTTAATTCAAGGCCCAACATATGTAACACTAATTTTAAATATTGTTCCCAATTCCCTTGGCTATTTTGAAAGTTACATATATCTGACCTCTGTGTGTACTCATGGCTCTCTGTAAAAACATACACTCCTAAACTCCTATGCCTTAAGGAAGAACTTGTAGCAGTTACTAGCATCTGTGCCTTTCTAAACATTAAAGAAGATTACTACTTTCCCCAGAAAGGAAACTACCTCATATCAGTCCACCCATTGACTCCCTTGGGGAGTGAACTTCCCATTTCCCAGTGCCTTCTCCCTACTCTTCCCACTTCAACTCACCACCACGACCTCCCACTCTGCATTTCTGAACATGACCACAACCACCTCTTCACTTGGTTTCAAACAAATATCACTAACCTTTACATATGCTTTACTAACTGTATACCCTCTACAAGGTAACTACTGGAACTACCACCTTGACCCAAGGATACATCAAGATATTATTATCATAAAACCACATAATTGGTACTTTTAAAACATTTTACAACTCCACCAAGATCTTGTTAGGGACCCCAGAAATTCCAGCTCTGTTTTCTTAGTAATGCCATAAAATGGAGATCTTGGTGATGGACTGGCCTACAAGGACTCTTTATTCTTCTATATGTTTTTCTCCTATTTACTCCCATAATAAAATGTCTTCTATGCTCTTTGGACAATTTATACTCTACTCTGTGAAAGTCTTTGCTACTATTTGGCCATTGAAATATGCCAAATAAGCTCAAAACTGATGTCAAGACTTTAAGCGGTAGATTGTAACAGTTTCTGCTGTTGTTTAATCACTGTCTGGACCCAGTTTTGAGGCCCAGGCTAGAGGGTAGTCAGTTTCCCTTCTTGGCAGCTGATTAAGTCCACTCCCCAAGCCAATCACTCCCCTTATTGAGCTTTCAAACTCTTGGCCACTATGTAGGCTCCTCAGTTGCCCCAGGGCCAGGTATCAGGCAACTAGACACACTCCCTAAGCCCTGGAGCCTGAGAAATTGTTCAAGTTAGCCAATGCACAAGGATCCTGGGAAGCTAGTTGAATCCACTCTACTTGTTATATAAATTGCCCCACCATAGCTTCAGCTTGCTGTTACCCTTTCTCTGGATGCAACTCCCTAGGTGGCCCTGCCTGAAAAATTTGGAGTTGTCAGTAAAAGAATTCTGTCTTTCATCTACTAGAGTGTTTTTATGATTTGTTGTTTTTATCAAAAGGATCTTTAAACTTTAAGAAACACCATATACACACACTTTAACTTCCTCCCACTAAAGTTGGAGTACATGTTCCTGTCCCTTTACTTCACTGCTGTTTGATTTGATTTCTTTTTAAACAAAAAATATTGCTGGAAGTGAAAGTGCACCAGTTTTTAGTCTAAGCCTTCAAAGACATCTCATTCTTCCCTCTTGCTCTGTTATCGTTGTGAGAAAAGATACCCTGGGGTAGCTGCTATCCCTTCAGGAATAATGAACTTACGTGAAGCCAAGCCTCCCTAACCAAGCTCAGGTGGACTCAGACCTGAAAGTAGAGCCATCCAGTGGAATTGTGGCACCATTCCAAGAGTGGGATTTGAATGAGCTGTCCCAGTTGACCATGGATGGATAAAAAGCAAATGTTTATTTTGTATGCCAATGAAATTTTGTGCCTCTGAAATTTTGTGTTTTCGGCAATAGTCAACAGCTACAATATGCATACATGTTTGGCTAAGTGCTCTAATTATGTTTGGGAAAAAAAAGGATAGCCTGCAACTTTTGAAATCTGCTTTAGCATTGGGCAGCTGTAAAAGAACAACACACTAAAGAGATCTATCTTCTCTTTATTCTTTTCTGTAGTCTGAAAATATTATGCAGAAGCAAGATGGGATGTCTGGAATGACAATAGATCATTTTCTTTCAACAGTGAATCTACATGCACAAATCCCTGAAATAGTACTTCTAATTTGACAAAGACTCCTCCTTAGTAGTGGTGACTGGTAGCCATGCCTGTTAGTTTATTGAACATAAGCATGCAAGCTCTCCGTTTCATGTGAGTGAGGACACCACTTCTCAAACTAATGAGTGAAAAGTAATTGGTCATTATCCATTAGAATTCAATTATTCTAAGGTGGAACATCAGAAGCAACTAGAATGGACAGGGTTAGATCCTGGATATCACATAGGGATAATGACATATCTGTTATCATTGACTTCCAGTTGAAGCCATGCCATTGACAGGCAGAGCCCCTCAGCAGGTGCCAGGGTATGGTCATTTCCAGGTTTTGTTAGGAACACCTTTTCAGAAGAAATCTGTTACTAGAGGTTGATATATTATCTTGTTTCAAAGTGGTGTATTTAATTTCTGAATTAAAAAGTAAGGCCAGGCTGGGTGCAGTGGCTCATGCCTGTAATCCCAGCACCTGGAGGCTGAGGCAGGAGGATTGCTTCAGCTAATGGGTTTGAGATCAGCCTGATCAACATAGTGAGAACTTGTCTCTTACTAAAAATCAAACAAATAAAAAAAAAATCAGCAGGGAGTGGTGGTGTGTGTCTGTGGTCCCATGTGCCAGCTACTCTGAGGCCAAGGCAGAAGGATCACTTGAACCCAGGAATTTGAGGCTGCAGTGAGCTATGATCGTGCCACTGCACTCCATCCTGGGTGACAGCAAGACCCACAGACCCTGTCTCAAAAGTAAATAAGTAAAAATAAAAAATAAATGAGGACAGAGATTCAAAGCTGGAGACAATTCATGTGATCAATGAGCAAAATAGTGCATTGCATTTCTCTTATTTGCTCAGTTTGGTCATAAGTTTAGGGAAATAAACCTTTGTTTATACTGTAAGGATAATTTTAAGATGCATAAAATATATTCTTTACACAGCATTTATAAGGAAAACAATATTTAAGATTGAGACATCTCATTAATATCCTGAAAAAATATTTAAAAGTCAAGATACTGAAATTATTTTGAGGAATGAAAATATATCAAAGTGTCAGCAAATAAAAAGAGTGAATGAAACTATAAAATACTTGTTAGTTTTAAATTTATTTGACCTTGTGCTTATTGAAAGTATGCAAGTGGACATTTTGTGAATAGTTAAATGATAAGTATTATGGGGAAACAAGGCAATGGAAGACCACTCTTCTCATGATGAATTTATATTATAATAATTAAACAAGTCAACAATATAAGAATGATCCTGAGGCAAAAAGATTCATTCAATATTTATTATAATTGAAATATATCTGCATTGTATGGATAAAGTTCCTGTCATACAGAAAGTTTCAATGCTTTATTGAGGCTACACAGCTAAATGGAAGTACAGTCATAAGTAGAACCCAGGTCTCTGGACATGAAGTTCAGGGATAATTTTTTACTCAAGGATCTGCACATGAAAGTAAATAGCGTGGTAATAATGTTTTATTAAGCATGGTAGAGATTCAAAAATGAGAAAAAAATTTAGTGTCAGTATCCCCAAAGTCTTTCTGGAAATTATACAATTGAAGATAGGTCTTGAAGGGTGGTTGAATATAGAGACAGAGGACTTGGGGAGGTGAAATAGGCTAAGAAAAGCAACAATTTAAATTTTGGGTTTGAATACCAGTGATTAGAGAGTTAGCATGACTCAAGTGTTAATATAAATAAATAAGTGTGGAAACTAAGTTTCAAAGACTGTGTATTATAAGGAAAACAAACTTCACATAATAAATTACAAAGGGGGTTTTGGAAGAGAGAAGTGTATTAGTGTTCTACCCTGTAACTATAGTTTTGAAAACCACAGTTTAAAAATGTTATGCAAAAATAATAAAAAGCAAATAGATGAAGAAGTGATTGCAGTTTTGATATGAGAACTGACATATTTATTGTTGGTTGGGGGCAATTAAAAGATACATATGTATATGTATAAAAGATATGATAGACTCACTGAATTTCATACTTAAGGACATTTATTTCAACTAACTAAACATTGCCCAAATCTCTTCTACAATACAGATCTAGTATTTGGTTTTCTGGTGCATGTTTGAAAACCCCAAGACCACTACATTAGTATTTTCTTCCAGTAGCCAACTCAGTTTTTGAATATTTCTGGCTCTTGAAAAAAGTTTTCCTTATTCAGGTCTAAAATTGTAGTTCAGTGCTTAGAGTGTTTTCTAATTTTCTTTTTCAACCTGTATACTTATATTTTCTTCAACCATGCATTTTATAATAATAATATCGAGCCTCTAAATGAATAATACTATATTCCTGTGTTTTGAAAGTAGGGAGTCCATATCCAAACATAAGAATTCAGGTATAACGTATGCAGTCTATAGTAGAACAGAATTATCTTCCTCGGTATTCTAAACACTCAGTTTCCATTTGCATAACATATTTATTTTTTTCTTGGACAAAATATCACATAGTCTTAAACTGAATATGAGGTCTCAGGTTCAATTCTTTTTCACAATGCTATTGTTAAAAAATCCTTTATTTACATGTGAAATTGGTATTTTGTAACCAAGTACCAAACTTACTCTTATACTTGTTAAATGTGCATTTGCTATTTAAATCTCTGCAAACTGCTTGTTCATTTTTAAATTTGATTTTTGTTATAAAATGTAAAAATTACTGTGTTTTGTAGCATCTACAAAGTTAATAGGCATATTGTCTAAATTTTTGTCAAAATATTGAAAAATATTGAGTAGGAGAAGAGTAAAAGAATCACATTGAATTGAAAGTAGTAAATGACCAATTGGATTAAAGTCTGGCTATTGCTAAGAAACAAGGAAATAATGAGCATGTAGCTTAATAAATGGAAGGGAAGAATACCAAAAGTTCCTAGACATTAAGGAGAAAAAAAAGCAAAATAATCACTTTTATTTAATTATTGTACTTAAAATCAGTGCTACTGTTCCTAGTCTTTGCCACATACATTCACAAGTAAGTATGTTCCATACATTACACTGTAGGGTTACATAGTTTTTCTCTCTCCACTTAGGAATTCCTCAGGAGTAGAGGACATGAACCATATATTGTTGATAACTCTATAGTTCCCAGCAAAAGACTGAGTATATAACATTATCATAGTGATCACATATTGATTAACTTAACAAACCATCTCTTTAAGCTTCATGATAAAAATGATGTTCATGTCAATTAATGCCTTTTTAAATTTTGGAAAAATATTTCTGCATTCATTTTAAAAAGTAGATGTATAAAGAATATAATGACATTAAACATTAAAACATATTTAGGCTGGTTTCAAACAGAATTTCATATAGAACATGAAGCACAATGAATCTATTAAATGAGCCAGAATATCAAGTCACAGCTTCCTAAGCTATTAGAGGCTGTGTGGATCCTCTCTCAGCTGGAAGTAACTAACTCTAGGTGTCATAGCATCCTGCTGACAGCTTAGCTCTTATATGACAGTCGTGATTAAACATTATCCATAAATTTTTTTCATTTCATCAAATTGAATCATAGTTTTCAAGGCAAATAAAATATTCATTTTTCACAAATATTCATAGAGCTGTCCTCAAATGAAACTGTGAGATTAGACTTCTTCCAAACCCAACTTAGACAGAATGAATTTTAAAATCTCAATATAATGTGTCAAAAGTGAAAATTAACTCCATATTCATCTTCTACGTAATGATAGGGAAAATTGTTCAGGGCTGCCCTCTTGTCAGATTTTCTATTCCAGATATGCATATAATAAAATACAACAGTGTTTTAAAAAATGTGATGTCCTTTAAGAATGGAATTCTTTATACATGTGAGGTGAAGTAAAGGTAACAAAGGAGCCTCCTAGCTTCCCACATCACTTCAGAAGATATTGGCTTCCAGTTTTTTCTGTTTTGTTTTGTTTCTTTTTCCCAATGAAATAAGGTAATAGGAATCACGGAAGCCTTACACTATAAATCGACAGGATTCAAAATAAAAGCTATGTGTGTAAAAAAAATGAGAATTTCTAGTCTTTTTTGGTTGATAAATTATTTGAATTTTCCTTTGAAACTTCCTGAGGAACAAGTTTAAGGAGGCAAAGTTATCTTGTTAGTTCTTGTCAATTCTACTTCTGAAAGATCAGAGTAGTATTGAGAGAGGCCACCTCTGGGCCAGAGGCAAAATTTTGGTGCATTTATTTTGTATCACAACTTTTTCACTGAGCGCCTGTTATATAACCTACAGGGCATTAGGTGTTACCTGGTGACAGGGAATGAGAAAAACCTTGTCTATTTGCTAATTAATGCAAAAAGTATTTGTCAAAGCAGGCTCTTCTATAGGTGTTGGGGATAATGCTTTAAACAAAGCAGACAACCTCTTGTGTGTTTTATATTTTAGTGGAGGAGGGAAAGACTGAAAAAAAAACATATTATAATGTATAATGTTGCATAGTGAATCATACTATGAACAAAATTGAAGCAGGGAAAGGAGATAGAGAGAGTTCATTTATTCTTTCTTTTACCAAACATTTATTGAATGTATGCAGCACTATATGCCAGGTCCTTTTAGGCAAGCAAGACCTATCAGTTAATAAAAAATTGAAAAAGTAACCCTCATAGAGCTTACATTATGTTTTAAAGGGAAAAGCAATAAATATTATAAATAAGCAAATGACATACAATCATAGAAGGGAAAAGCAATAAATATTATAAATTAGTAAATGACATTCAATCATAGAAGGCAAAATGTGCAACAGGAAGTTCCTCGTGTGCAACATCAAAGAAGGGAAGAAACTGATCTGATTAACAGAAGAGACAGCCCAAAATGTTGGTGCAAACTTGAAGTAGACCACTACCACATTTCAGCCCCACTCAGGGTTGGCCTTAGAGACAGCAACAAAGGGAACTTCTCCTGGTGAGCAGAGTTTTAAGCAGTCAACTCAGTCATTCATTTTGCATGAAATGGGAGATGACAAAAGGTACAGATAATATGTTGATTCCTGGGTTGTGGCAGTGGCCAGACTCAATGGTCAGAGTCCTCAAATGAAAAAGACTAATAAGTCGGGGCTAAAGAACTCTGGGAAGGAAGTATATGGAAGATCCTATAGGAGTGGGCACAACACATGCAGATAAGTGTAACTAGTATTAATTTCTACCAGAGAGAACCCATCTCCAGGGAGCATCTCTTCAACAAGGTAGACAGGATGACTATTGCAATGCTTGCACAATGAGCACATGACCAGGGTGGTCATAGCAGAAGGATTAAGGCTATGCATGAGGCTAATGACATGTATTCATGTATTCGTCTTCACCAAGGCTGATCTATTGCTACCATTGCTGAATGTCCAGTCTGAGAGCAGTGCATATCCATTGCAGAGTCTTCCATGTGACACTACTTTTCGGGAGTTTAAGCAGCCTCTTGGTGACAGAGCTATGAAATAAGACCCCTTCCACCAGAAAGGGAATAAGGATTGTCCTTATCAGAACAAATGCACATTCTGGATATGAGTTTGCCTTTTTTTGCACAGTTTTTCAATCAACACCATCATTTAAGGGCTTAAAAAATGCCTGATATCTCAACAGAGCATTTCATGTGGGATTGCTTTAGAACAAGGAGCCTGCTTTATCACAAAGGAGGTATGTTGATGCATAGGTAATCACAAGATTCGTGGGGCTTACTACTAGTATTCTACTACACTGATAGAATGAAGACTCAGTTAAGGAGCCAGCTCAGAGAAAAAATCCCAGGGTGTTGTCTTCTAGTGTACACTATATGCACTGAAGCATAGGTCTGGGAGGTAAGGAGTAGAAGTGGGATCCCCTGCTTGCCATTATTCCCAGTTATTTTTAACATATTCCCATGCTCAAAATATAGTGCTTTCCACCCTGCCTTAGACTTTGCTAGTTTAGAGATGTTATTTTCCAAGTGGAGAAGAAATGTATGAACTACCTTGAGCTCCTAATCCTGGTGCAGATGGAATGTACTAGTGGGAGTCATCGATCTTGATAATCATGAGAAGCTATAGTTGCTACTACATAGTGAGGGCAAAAAGAAATATGTCTGGAACCCAGTAGATTCACTGGGATATGTCTTGGTGCTTTTGTATTCAGTGATAATAAAAAAATGTTAACCGCATAGAACACATGTCCAGAAGCTCAAAGTAACTTAGGAATAATAACCCCTAAATCCAAGGTCTGGATCACCCCATTCAGCAAGACCCAAAATTATAGCTGAAGGTGGCCAGCTGTAACTTCATTGGATAACATAATATAAAGTTGTCTGTGTGCTGTTTGTTTAAGGAGGCAGCAGTTAACAATAATACTTAAAGATTAAATTTTTATGCTTCTTCTCAGGGAAGAATCGAAGGTGAGAATTGAATATCGTAGTACAGTGTGAGCAGATCTGACCTGCACTATGAATGGATTGTACCAAATTCAGATTATGCATTACCCATCTCTGCACACTTGCTTTGCTTTCTAAATTGGGTGGCACTCAGTGGCTGGTAATATTCCCATTCTGTGCCCACTCTCATTTCAACAGACTGAAAACCTTGCTGGATATGCCCTATGGGTGCCTCACTTTCAACCTACATTGGAAGTCCTTCCTTTTCTTTCCCTGGGTTCCTGAATACTGCTGAAGTATAAGATGCTGCAGTAATTAATGCTGTCTGGGGTGAACACTGAAGGCATGAGACAAGCCTTCAGTGTTATTTAGATATTATTTAGATATTATTTTTCTCCCTGCTTCTCCCAAGGTAAACAGTCAGAGAAGCAACCCCTTTGAAGATGGCTCACTAGACAGAGCAATTGTCTCAAAGTTCTGACCTGTCTAACAATGCCACTCCTTATATTTGTTGTCCCTCCTTCCCCTACTAACTTCTCATCCTCTTCCCAACCTCAAGAATTTCTTGGGTTGCACAATCAATAAAATAGTTACTGTAAAAATTTTGCCTAGGGTTTGTGTTTTAGGGCAACAGTCCCCAACCTTTTTGGCAGAAGGAACTGGTTTTGTGGAAAACGATTTTTCCATGGACAGGGCAGGCGGATGGTTTCAGGATGAAACTGTTCCACCTCAGATCATCAGGCATTAGATTCTCATAAGGAACGTGTAACTTAGATCTCTCACATGCACAGTTCACAGTAGGATTCACACTCATGAAAATCTAATGTCACCACTGATCTGACAGGAGGTGGAGCTCAGGTGGTAATTCTTGCTCACCTGCCGTTCACCTCCTGCTGTGTGGCCTCGTTCCTAACAGGCCATGGACCAGAACCACTAGGTGGCCTGGGATTTGGTGACCCCTGTTTTAGGGAATGCTAAGACAACAGGTAAAAAAAAAAAAACAAAAAAAACCAGTTGCCCATATTCAGCATCACCTATGGGGACCCTGTGATATTACTATGAGAAAATTAGAAGATACAAATGCACTGAAAAAAAATAGTATCTCTTTCCAAAGTTTTAAGCAGACTGTGCCTGAAAGCCCTGATTTAACACATATATCTTCAGAAAATTCATTTATATATCACTCTGTGCAATGTGACTTTTCAAATAAAAATCATTGTTCTAAATTAAATATATTCATTTTTGCTTCGAAGTTTTCTTGTTCATGTATGAAAATTGAAGATACTGCTCTTAATGTGTTGGTTCTCCTAGCAAAAAAAAAATTTCTCAACCAGTTAAGTAATTTCAGTTTATTACTTACATGCTTTATTAATTGTGTGTATCAATAAATGTTAACAAATAAAGCTCATGGAAGTTTATTCTGTAAAAGGTGAAACATTTAATATGATTGTGAATGCTATTGAAAATTCAGTTTAAAAGTTTAATACAAAATTATTTCTTTTTATGTTAATAATTCAAATGAAATTTTTGGTGTAGCGTTCACTGCGGTAATAAAACTATAAAAACTAAACTACTAGGTTAAGAAATGTTGGCCGGGCACAGTGGCTCACACCTGTAATTTCAGCACTTTGGGAGGCCAAGGCAGGCAGACATGAGGCCAGGAGTTTGAGACTAAGCCTGGCCACCATGGTGAAACCCCATCTCTACTAAAAATACAAAAAATTAGCTGGGCATGGTGGTGGGTACCTGTAATCCCAGTTACTTGGGAGGCTGAGGCAGGAGAAACGTTTGAACCTGGGAGGTGGAGGTTGCAGTGAGCCAAGATCACACCATTGGGCTCCAGCCTTGGAGACAGGGCAAGACTCCATCTCAAAAAAAAAAAAAAAAAAAGAGAGAAAGAAAGAAATCTTAATTGGTTGTGCTATACATGCTACACATGAAACTCAAAATTGCAACCCAAATGTCCAACAACAATGACAGACTGGATTAAGAAAATGTGGCACATATACACCATGGAATACTATGCAGCCATAAAAAATGATGAGTTCATGTCCTTTGTAGGGACATGGATGAAGCTGGAAACCATCATTCTCAGCAAACTATTGCAAGGACAAAAAAGCAAACACTGCGTGTTCTCACTCATAGGTGGGAATTGAACAATGAGAACACATGGACACAGGAAGGGGAACATCACACACCGGGGCTTGTTGTGGGGTGGGGAGAGAGGGGAGGGATAGCATTAGGAGATACACCTAATGTAAATGACGAGTTAATGGGTGCAGCACACCAACATGGCACATGTATACATATGTAACAAACCTGCACGTGGTGCACATGTACCCTAGAACTTAAAGTATAATAATAAATATATATATATATATATATATAATTGCATCCTAAACAAGAAGTTGTGAAGATGTACATATATTTTATTTTGTATATTATGCTGTATATTTTGCTCACAGTCAAAATGGTAAAACCAAATAATTTTTATGATAAGGCTGATGTGACGTCTCTCAAAACAAAACAAAATGGCCAACTAGAATATGGTAACACAGTCTTTCTGTCTTTGTTCTCCATCATTAGCTAAAATTTTAAAGTATATGGTACTTAGAAGAACTAACTTTAAGCAGCCTAAATGTAGTCTACTGATACTGCATTTTTAGCAGCCTAAGTGTAGTACACTTACTGCATTTTTAATAGTCTTATAATTTTTATTGCAGTTCTCAAAATTAATTGTATGTCTTTATTCAAAACACATAATGAATATAGCCTCACAAAACTTACCTTTAAAAATTATAAAGTAGTAAATTAAAATCAAAACTTGAAAACAGAAAAATATTAAAATTTTCTACAAACACAAAGAAAAATTGAACAAATAAAATGAAGGTACAAAGAAGTATAATATTTAATTCTGAAATTTTGCAAAGTTGGCTTTGGAATATCTCAGTCAGTGGGAGGAATCTTTTGAAGTGACTCCAGTTTTACTTGGATAAACTTATATTCTGCACCAGAATGAAATCAAACTGAAATTGCCTATGATTTGATAGTATAAAGGTTTACAAAAGTAGTCTATATAATTTTAAATAACAAAATAGAAGACAAGTTTTGACTTCCAAAATATTTGTCAGAAATTATGATTGGAAGCAAAAGCATAGCACCTGCAAAAATATATGAGCTGAAATATTTATATATTTCGTATTGAAGAAAATAGAGTTGATAATATCATTTATTTAGCAGAAATTTCTCCAAGCTTACAAGCTACTTCATTCTCTAGAGAAAAATTATTTTCTCAACTAAAAACTTTAGGATCCACAGAGACTGAGATGAGGGTTTCAGTATTTTCAAATTTATTAACCAAAAATTTTCATTTAAGATAATTTTTAGGCAAATTAAAAATAAATAGACAACATTAAAATATTTTGAACAAATACCACTGGCATTATATTAGAGTTGGATACTATAAAATTAATTAAATAATCAAAAATATATTAAATAAGTTACTACTTATACTATTTTAAATCTTCCAGTGATAAATATAAGGAAGTTTTTTGGTGTTTCATGTACATATGCTGCTTTTAGTTTTAGAAAATTGTATTTCAGAGAATTACTTTTAAATAGTACTATTTCATAGATCTAACACTATCATAACATCAATTGCTTTTTGTCAATAGTGCCTATGTCAAAATTATATAATTTAATTATTTTAGCTTTCCCTGTCATTCTCGAAAGTATTTTTTGGGGGGCATCAAATAGTATGGTCATCATAATGCTAGTACAGAAAACAAACAAACACATAAATTACACAAATAAATGTTTGATATAAATATCAAGTGGTGAGGAAAAGGAAAAGAAACTTTTGATCGAGACTATTCTAGATCAGGTGGTCACTGAAGCTATTTTGGACAAGGAAACCTTTTAGCACGTATATAGAAATGATGATGCAATTGTGAATATCTATTGGAAGAGCAATCTAGGCAAAGGCAAAATATGAAAAAAAGAAATACCTCGGCCAAAACCCAGTCTAACTTGTAGTAGTGAAAAGGCTAATGAGATTGAAGGAGAGCCAGAAAGGCCTAGTGGCTGGAAATTACATGAAATTTTAGGGAGAGCCTGGACCAGATCATAGCAAGTCTTTGTAGGTTTTCAATATTTTTTTTCTTTCTTTCTATGTGTGACAGAGAATAGTGGAAGTTTTGTGGGGTGGAGTGACATCATCTGGTTTATGTTTAAAAACTTTCTTCCAGTTGCTATGTTAAGAATAGATTGTAAGGATTGGAGCTAAAGAGGAAGGAATAATTATACAAAGAGCAGTAGGAAAAATACTAATAATTAAGAGAGAAAAGGAACTTAGCCAATTTGAACATCCTCTACATATGAAGAACTGTGCTGGACATTTACAAAAATTATCTACTATTGCTAATGGATATGTGTATATATTAGTTGATTTGCTTCAATAGTATACTGTAATTGAAAGTTTCAATTGCTTATAAGTTATTCAAGCATATATGAAGATAACATACAGATATATAGTTAAAAATAGTGCAATCTGAAACTTTCACAATTACTCTTAGGAGATTAGTGTTCAGTACTGAAATTAATGAAATGATATTATCTCAATATGCATATGCAAATATGAATAAGTAGTTAAGCTCAACAATAGCATAAGCAAAAGATTATGATAATAAGTTCCATTATCTGAATTAATGAATGGCTCACCTCACTTGATAAGGTCACGTTGAGTCCCAGTGCATCTCGTAGTACAATTTTATCATTCAGCTCTATGAATCTGCTTAACTATTTCTGTATATTTTAACAAGAAATAAAAATCACAAAGAGATAAAGGTAAGTTGCCTGTGGGAGCCTGAAAAAAAAAAATCAACCAGAATAACAAATTCTTCTTGGTTTAGAATATTCCCAAGTTGTATGCTTTTTATTTTTTTTTCAATGATTCACCATGCAGGTATTTAAATAATAAAGGAGGCATTTAAATGTTTCTTTGATTTAAATCCCTATTTTAATCTCTAGTTAAGGTTCCTCAAATTTCTTGTCTCATACATCTAGTGATTAACAAAATTATATACATGGTGACATACACATAAGATCTATGAGGACCTCACTTACTGAATATTCAAATGTGATTATTGTATTACTCTCTACCTCTGTGAGTTCCCTAAAAGGGAAACTGTGTGCCCTGAAAATAAATTTATGTGTGATTTTGTCAAATTATCCTTGGAGATAGAACCTGGAAGCAAAACATATTACAATGCCAAATGTGTTTCTCAAAAGGCCAAATAAATTAAATCTTCTTCAGGGAAAACATATAAAGGCTGGATCACAACATCCATGCTCTGCATTCAGACTTAAAGCACCAAAGTTATACAAAACTGAGTAGCCCTATCAAATCATTTCATTATTCCCTGCTAATTACACTAAAACCTCTATACTTTTCAAAGCATTTTTATTTTGTCTTCTAAATGTTAGTAGTTTAAAAATAACCATGATTTAAGCCATTATTACTATATTCTTAGCTATTATATACATAACAAAATCTCTTACTCACCCCAATTAGAGGAAGTTGCAGACACAGGTTACGGCATAGGGCAAAAAGGTTGCTGCCTAATTGAAAAAAGATGCTGTCCAGGGACCTATAAATAGCTCTTTAAAAACCTCCACCTTTGCTATCATTTTCATTCAATTTATGACTTTTAAAACTGCAGTTCCAAAACTGGGTGCCAGAGTGCCTTGGGGCACTACCATGAATTAACAGGAGCACTGAGGGATATTTTAAAGTTTCTAGGAAAACAGAGTGACATCTATTGGGCACCAGGCAAGTTACAACTGTTAACATGGGAGCTTACTACTTAATACATGAAGCTGATAGCTTTGTGCTTTGTTTTTATTTAACTTAGGTGCTTTGTGAGAAAAAACAAGAACAAAAGCAAAAAAACCTGAGACACTAAAGGTGTCATGAACTCAGAGATTTTCAGAACCACTGTTTTATACATAATTTCAGTACAACGTGCAGTGAAGCCTCAAGCTTCATAGTGAAGCATGCTAAGATCAATTTTTAAAGAAAGCATATATAATTTTAAAAATTATTTGTTTCATAAATAACTGCAATTTATTACTAAAAAATGATAAAATGACTTAATGAACATATGCCAAAAAAATAAGAAATTATAGAGATGTATCTTTATGACATCTATGTAAAGGAAAATTTTATAAAGAGATTATTAAAGATGCTGATTATAAAATTTAAAAATGTTAACTTCAACACAATACAATTTAAAACTTTTATCCATCACAAGACATAAAGTAGAAAGTACACAACAAACTGATAAAGGTATTTTCAGTAATATAATAATTAGTATCTAAACCATATAAAATTCTTATAAATTAATGAGAAAAGCAATCCAATAGGAAAAAATGGGGAGCAAAAATAATAAGCAAGCATTTCAGCAAAAGTAAATTATAAATGGTTAAAAAAGAAACAATTCTTAAACATAGAAAATGCAAATTAAAAGCACACTGAGATTTTATTTTATGCCATTTGATGGGCAAAAATTATTGTTCGATCATACCAAACTTTGGCAGAACAAGCAACTATGTGGGCACCAATATACTCATACCGGTAGTATAAATAGGTATAATTACTTTGAAAAATGATTTGGCATTATCTTGTAAATTCGAGCATGTGACAATCTTATAACCCAGCAATTTTTTCTTATTTTTTTACCTTAGAATAACTCATACACATGCCTCAAAAAAGTATACAAAATGAAATTTAAAACAGCATTATTTTTGTAACAGCAAAAACAGAAATAGCAGAGTATCTATAGACAAAGGAGTCAATAAACAAACTGAAATTTATATAGTCGAATGTCAAAGAGATTAAAAATAAACAAATTATACATGCCCAACACATTACTGAATTTTAGAACCATAATGTTAAGTAAAAAAAGCAAAGCACAAATAATATAACTACAATATATTATTTAAAAAGCTTAAAACAAGGAAAGCTATATAATCTTATGCAGACATATGATAAAACAAAAATTTTAAAAGCAAAAGAAAAAAACACACAAGTCGGGAAAGATGTTGCAATGGGGGAGATTCAAGTGTTAATGTTTTAGTTTTTAAATTAGATGATGACTTTATGGGTGGTATTGTATTATTATTGTTATGCTTTATATTTATATATTCATTAGAATAATTTTTTGCATTTTAAAATATTTATAATACATGGAAACATATGCATGTTTTCATTCAATCTTCACTAACATACTGAGAACTAATTAAATTCCATACTACTAAAAAAAACACAAATGCTTAGAATCGCTTACCCATGTCACTCATCCAATTAGAATCAAATTGGAATTAGTACCTTTCCAGTGCTCATATCACTTTGCAATGAACATCTTTTTTTCAGAAATTGCAGAACGCAAGAGGGATCTGATAGCATGAGGTTTTCCCTAGACTACTTTGTGGAATTGGTTTAATGCCATAATGGACTCATACAAACATCCTTTTAATTAATTTTAAACATGACTCAGAAATATAAGTCTTTTATTTATTTATTTATTTTTAGTGTGGCAAGTGGGAGGGGGAATGATGTTGAGTTGGTTCCATTTAGCTCCACATGTAGACAGGTTCATGAGCCATTCCTTTCTGCCATCACTGGTGGACTAAGCACATAGGCTCTCTCTTTATCTCAGATACTTGCCAACAACCTGAAACTTTAAAAGTGTTAGTGGCAGTTTAGCAGAAATGAGGGGTGTCCTCACAGGATAATTTTATTATGAATACAGCAAAGTCTCAAGACGTGCCTAAGTATCATCCCTTTTGAATGGTCAATGGAAGTTATGCTCAATGTTCATGAAAGAAGAGATGCTAAAAGAAAAGCCAATTAACTCCGCTAATACTTTGGTAAAGGCACTGTGTGATGCTTATAAAAAGAAGACTAAATGGTGTGTGTTCTCTAGCTTGAAACTCATGCAATTCACAGACTAAGAGATGGGTGGTGCTTGCTAAAATTTTAGTTGGGCAGTCTCTCTGAATGTTAACTCATGTAAGGCAAGGTCCCACTGGGGTTAGCTCTCTCTTTTCACACCCTATCAGCTTCATTACTTTATTTTTCATCCTTCTTCCAAGCCCTAGGAATTCTTTCTATCATGGGTGAAGCTTTGCTTTTATGCATAATGTAGTTTCCCTTTGCCCTCAAATTTCTTCTGTGTCATTTCTTTACTGGATAATAAGCACAGAATGTTCTCAGTTGAATCATTGCAGGACAGCCAACTGATACAACAAAATACTAGACATCATTGTTTGGATTATTCCTTCACATTATGATCTAAAATTTACTCAGGTGTTTTATTTACACTTGTAACCTGCTAAATAACTGTTGTTAGCAGAACGACTGGTAAGGCACTTTCGTTGAATAACATGGGTCTTTAATGAGATTTTTCCAGATAATTAATGTTATTGTGGGTATAAACTGCGGATATTATAAAAAACGTAATTTTATCCCCAGAATGATTATAATTAATTTTCATTTCATTCCACTTAATACTGAGATGCTATCTAAATCTAAGGTTAAAAAATACTTTGTAAGTAATAACACTATCTTTAACAGTAGACATTTATAAATAAATGTCTATGTATTGTTTGATTATTGTCTTATATAATAGGGCTTGCAACATATGATTCCATTCTTTATCCAGAAGTAATTTATATAACTAGCTTTAAATCTCCATAAAATAGTAAAACAGTATAAGGTTTAATGAAGAATGCAGATTTCAACCATAAATAGCCTTCTATTTTAATATTTGCAGTAATGTTTAGATACTAGTAGTTATGTTCTGGTTCACAGTAATTACATTGTTTTATTCTGTTCTTGAAGTACTTCACACAGGTGATTGTTTCTGCAATTGTTTTATATAAATTATCTTACAACTCATTTTGAAATGTAGATTAATGTTATGAATTACAGTAGTATTCCATAATCATCTATGTGTGGTTTGAGCAAGAATTGCCCATACAAGCCCTAATCCATGAAAAAATGCAGAGGTCGGTAGTTCTCTTCAAACCTGTTACTGAGAGTCCTTTTGCTTATTCAGTCACTAGAATATAAGATTCATAAAAGCAGGAGCTCTGTTTTGTGTGTGTGTGGGTTTTTTTTTTTTAACCATTGTTTCTCCGAATCCTAGAAAAGTGCCTTTCACATAGTCACAAAGTCCTAGGATTTAGGATTTGTAAGCACCACATAGTCGGTGCTCTGTATTCCTTAAATTGATGGATTTAGATTTGCTCTCAAGTTACTGACAATCCTGTTGCTGCAAACTTATGCCTGCCTCTGCTTATGAGTAACCTTAAACCTCAAGACTCAGAATATACCAGTGTAAGGATATAAAATTGAAATAAAAGTCTAAATAGAATCAATGAATATTCAAAAGTGTGAAAGTCATTGATATAAGGGACCAATCTCCTGTTTACTCATATAAACTTACTTTGAATAGTAGATTAAAAGTCATTAAGTACAAAAATATTGATCTAATATTCAGACATGTACAATGATGGAAAGTACAAAATAAGTCATATTTTATAATTAGTTTTATTCTCTTTTAGAAATATGATTCTATGTGGATTTTTTTAACCAAGTTACAAATAAATTAACACAAATTTTTAAACATGTAGTTTAAGTAGCACTATCTCTTTGGTGACGCTTTTATTAATTCTGAAGGAAAAACTAATCAACTGTGAATTGATATGTTCTTTTACATCTTTGAAAAATGCATGATTAATACTAGTTTTAACTCTGATTTTTAAAAAATGACTCCAGAGATAGTAGACATTGATGTAGCCACAATAGCTCTAAGGGGTGTTGACATTTCACTTGGTAAAATGTTAACATGAATTCACCTCTTCAAAAATAAAGTTATTAGTATTGAGCTATGCAATTCTAACTAGAGACTATTTAAAAAATTAAAGTTGTACTATAGTTTAAAGAAAACTTTTGAATTAGCAGTTAAATCCACATTAGTCAAGTGTCCCCAGTGATTAATTAGAAGAAGATCTAGAAGTGTTAATTATGCCACTAGGGAATCTTTAAAGTTGGTTCTGCACTTGCTTTGAAGTTTTGTCAAAAAAAGGACTTGGGAAATATTTGTATGTGTGATACCTAGATATACAAGTGCCACCAGTTTTCTAAATTATATTATAATAAATGTAGCACTTTTATGAGTCTATTCAAACATAATCACATTGCTCATAGAAATCTAATTTTTAAAAAGTTTAATTATTTTTCTTGTAAATTGGGCTTGAATAACTATTAATTTTTCATTTACTCTTTAAAATTCTGAGAAATATCTAAATCAGCTTTAACAAAATAATGACTGAAGAGCTGCTTTGTGAACAATGTTTTTCTATCTAATTTAGCCTTTTTAGGTGGTTTGATTTCCAAAAAACATAAAACCTTAAGTTCTGAAATTCTGGATGTTAAAAATTATAGGTGCAGTTGCAAAAGCAATATTAAAAAACATCAACAACAATATGAATGTACAAAAGATTTTATCTGTTTTCTTGGCAACAAATGAGGACCAAATTCAGAATTTCACCTGTTTAAGCTTACTGTAACTACAATCCTTCAGTGTTGTCTTGCAAAGTCCTAGGATCTGTAAGCTCCATGATTCTTTCCTCAGTAGAGTTAAAGAAAATATTAGATGAATTTTTTATGTTTCCGGCTAATTCAGAGAAAACCAGTTATACAAAATATTACACCATTTTTTACAGCATATATTCACTCACTTTCTAAACCAAGTCCTTCAGTTTTCCTAACTACACAACAGAGTTTTTGAAGCTAATGGTAAATGTATACGCAATCTAGTTGGTCTCCATTCAGGAAATTTGTATTTGTTTCCTATTACTGTTAAAATAAATTACCACAATTCAATGATTTGAAACCAGTCATAGTCATTGTTACAGGTTTAGAAGTCAGAAGTCTTAGGGATGTGTTCCTTCTGGAGACTTTAGCAGATACCTATTAATTTGTCCTTTCCTTTTTCCATTTCTATAGGCCACCTACTTTTCTTGGCTCATGGGCCCATCCTCAATCTTCAAAGTTAGCAGGGTAGCATATTTTCTCTTTCCTGACCTATTACCTCCCTTTTAAAATGATCTTTGTGATTAGCTAATTTTATCATTTATTGGGAAAATCACAGCTCATAGATTATTTGGATTGTATGTATCTAAATGAACATTTTGCTCTGATAAATATGTTTTGGTTATTGTATGAAGTTTTTTTTCTTTATATGATTGTGTTAAGATATTTAGCCAAACTTTCAAAGAGCAGATAGTACTGATACACTATAAATTGTTCCCAAACATTTCTAAAATAAAACAATCCTAATATCTTTTATACAACAAGGAAAATATTGTGTCTTAAATCCGATAAAGAAAATATAAATAAGTTTAGACCAATATTATGAAAAAATATTCCTGTAAAAATATTAAATATAATATCATAAAAGAGAGCATAAGATAACAAATACAAAATGACTAAGGACTAAGTGAAATTAAATCCAGTAATTCAAGGTTGGTTTGATATTAGAAAATGCACTAATATTATATAATATATCAATAGTTCTGAGGAGAAAAACATATGCTTATTCCCATACATGCTACAAATAATTTCAATAAATTTTAACAACCATTTCTTAATTTTTAAGTCTTCTAAAAACATAATTGAGAAATACTTTAGTGCTAAAGTCAGTATCTTAAATGCATAACAAACATTAGAGACATTTTTTAGTCAATCCAGGAAAGTCTGACTACTATTTCTGCCACAATTTAACATTTCACTAGAGGTTTTAGCAAATGCAATTAGACAGAAAAATAAAATAAACAACTTTTACACAATCCTGGTGAAAATGCAGTGGCAAAACATTTCCAGAGGACCAAACAAACCTCAAGTGAACTTACCTTTTAACCCAGAAATCTCATTAAATAGAAGTCTACTGTGAAGGCGCACTTCCAACAATAAACAATTTCATAAGCAGAAGGTTATTCCTCACAGTCTTGTTCACAATTACAAAATATTGGTAACAATGTCATTGCCCATATTTGGGAAAGTAATTAAAATGTGATGCATTCACACAATGTAGTGCTGGGTAATATAAAACTAGAAGAAGGAAATGTATATAAACTTACATAGAGTGATTTCCAGGATATACTCTTAAATTTTTTAAAAAAGAGGAGAAATAGAGACTCCATAGCATGTTATATTCTTCCATAACAAGAAAAAGAATATAATTTTGGGGGGGTTATTTTTATGAAAAAAATATATCTATAAGAAACAAGAAAATAATGAAATTGATTACCTATAGAAGATGTTAGAAATGAATTGAGAAGACAGTAGAATTTGTAGGACATAGCTAAAGCAATGTTTGTATAATTTTAACTTATGAAAGTTTTAAAATATTATAGAATTAAATGCTCATATTAGATAACAAGAAATATCTCAGATCTTAAGTTCTAAATTCCAATATTATATCTTAAGAAAATAGAAATAGAAGAACTAATGAGCCCTGGAGAATTTTCAGTAATGTATTAATGTAGGTAACATTAATTAATTTAAAAAGTAATGAAATATTTTTAACAGTTTTCTTCATAAAACAGTTGTATTATTTTAAAATATCATCTTTTAAATTCATCTAAAACTTATTTGCTTAATTAAAATGCAAGAGTTACCTTGAATATTTTCTTTCAAATTAGTTACGTTGCATTTTTATCATTTTATAAATTTTCTGTTTTTCTCTACTATTTTAATACTTAAGTGCAAAAAAAAGTAATTTTCTTAACAGTATTATCATTAATATTCATATATATTTATGTTTAAAGATCATCTTTCAATTCAATTTATATAAATATGTATGTTTGAAACATCATTAAAAGGTTTAAAATTATTTTTCTTGTGCAATATTTATCTTAAATTTTGTTATTTCTGATTTTCAAATATATTTATAGACATAAAATATTTTATCTTTTATTTTAACATGAAAAGAAATTAGCACATATCTGAGACTCTTGAGACTTTACCAAATCATTTTATTTATTTTCTTTTCTCATAAAACCAACTTGTCTCCTATAAATGAAGCAAAATGGAGCTTATTCTTTGATGGCAAATATATGTTTGTTTCTCTATATTCTAAATTCAGGTTTGATTTGTGTGCATGTGTATGTGTGTATAACAGAATTATTCATTTTGTTATACAAACTCAATATAAAGTCTTTAGTCGTATTTCAGTATCCATATAACCATTAATTTCTAAAATGTTTCAGAAAAACCTTATAATAGCCTCTCCCTGCATGATACTTTAGACATTTCAAGAATCACTTTTGTATATGTGACCAACTGAAATATTAATGTTTGGGAACAAAAGCCTCTTCTTCTAGGGGAAAAAAAAAAAAAAAAAGGCTAAACTCTATTTAGAGCTTCCATTAGGTGTCCAGAGGAGGGAGCCAATAGGCACATATGGGAGGTCATCTTTTTCTCCCAAGCTGGAAAAAGTTTTAGGGTGTTTGTACCACAGGTTGTAGAAACTTAAGCAAAACTCAGTGGCAGTGCCCCAGGGAGATAGCAGGGACTCATACAATGAGTGTAGAATGACTTATGGAGCTATAAACCAAAGAGAAGTCTCTTTCAAGATTCTAACAACTTTGAGGGTGATTTAGAGACAGGAGGGCAATTCAGCCTGAAGGGGCGATGGGGATTTCACTGATAACCAGCATGGACATCAATATGAATGAATGGTAGGGGCCATCTAGGGCCTTTCATGCAAGTTAAGCCATCAGAACTTTGCAGACCTCAAGCAGAAGCCCTAATAATAAATAAGATAAAATTTCCTGAAATATGGTGGGATAGCAAGATGGATTTAAGTTTATTTAAATTTTTATACACGCCTTAATTTATGGAATGAGATTCATTTTCAAGTACCAAAACCATATATGGAGGAAGTACTTTTTAATTTTGTTTTCTCTTTAAAAATTATTTAGATTTAGTTTACCCATTGGAAACTAAAACATGGTATGGAGTTAAATTACACTCTGTTAATGGTAGATAGTTAATTAAATTTCAAATTAATATGTATAATAAAAACTCACTTTCATCATTGTTTTGAATGTAATAGTAAGCATTACCCCTCGTATTGATATTTTTATTTTCTTTAAGACAAAATTTTTTTCAATATTTTGCCTGATTATTTTTAATGGAGAACAAACTTGTATTTTATGTTTTTTTTCCATCTGTCATTGACGTTTTGTTGAAACTCCCATGATTACAAATCAATCTGATTACTCTCAATGACTAATTCTTGTTCATTACTTGCCCTTTCCACACTCCTTATTTATGTGGGGCACGCTGTCAGAAAATGCCAGAAGTCTACCCTTTTATAATTTTAATTCACCTTAAAACTAGTATGTATATGTACAATTTTTAAGGGTATAAATTTGTTATTGAGAAACTGGAACTGCCCATTTGTAGTTCCACTTCTACATATTCTGCTCCCTTCTTATTTAAGAGCTCATTACCTTAACAGCTTCCTGAAAAAATGTAAGAGTAACGTTTTTCACCCAGCTTCTGAGAATAAAACTTTTTTATAGCAGTGTTCATGCTTCAGCCCTTTGACAGTGCGTACAATGCCATTTGTTTCTTTAAAGGGATGTTATTATACAATTGCTTCCTAATGAACTCTTTAAAATCAGCTTATAAAAACATCTGCACAGTATTTTCATTGAGATATTTTTGCAAAATAGGCACATTGCTATGTTTAGGTAAACTAAATATGAGATTTGCAAAATTGTCTCATACAGGTGAACAATAATATTTCCTTGGAAAATTTGCAGTTGTTGGAAGTGTTAGAAGTGCTCAGACTCCCCTTTTCTGATATTTTATTTATTTTGCTGGTCAGTAACTATTCAGAGGATGACAATGTTCAGTTACAGTACCAGCATACTCTCTTTTGCTATGGTGTACTTTGTGAATAATTGATCTAAAACCTATATAATTTTGGAAATGGCATTTGATCCCGTGTAATTCAGTATCCTTAAATGAAATAGAAAACTGGGATAATAATAGTATATGTTCATTGTTTTATATGTAGATTACATTTTTTCCAATCATTAAATAAATGATTTTAGATGCTATGCACTCATGAGTTACATAATTTTACTGCATTTAGTCTGTAAAACTCTACCTTCAGAACATGACATGTTGAGCTTTCTCACTGTACTATGCCTTCAGCTTAAATATTAGCTCCCCAGAGAAATCTTTTTACCCTATCTAAAGTAGCCACCCTTAACCAGCTTTGTGTTTGTTTTGTGTGTGTGAACATATGTTATCATTTCTCTGGAATATATACATAGGAGTGGAATTGCTGGGTCATATGGCAACTCTAAGTTTCACAATTTTACAGAGTGCCAAACTGTTAATGTGAAGTAGTATTTCACTGTGGCTTTATTTGCATTTCCCTGTGAATAATTATTTTGAGCATATTTTCCTGTGATTGTAGGTCATTTGTGTAAGCACTTCAGAGAAATATCTATTCAAATTCTTTGTCCACTTTTTAATTGGATTATTTCTTTATTTACCATTGAGCTCTAAGAGTGTTTTTGTGATCTGGACAGCTTTATCTAACATATGATTTGCAAATATTTATTCCTATTCTGTTGGTTGTCCTTTTATTTGCTTGATGATATCACTTAAAGCACAAAAGTTTTCAATTTTGATGTAGTTCAATTCATTTTTTTCTTTTGTCACTCGTGCTTTTGGTGTCATATCTAAGAAACTATTGCCTAACCTAAGGTCACAAAGAGTTGCTCTTGTATTTTCTTCTAAGTATTCCATAGCTTTAGCTCTTAAATTTAGGCTCATAATCCATTTTGAGCAAATGTATATAGATGGTGTAAGGGAAGGTTCCAATTTCATGCTTTGGCACGTGGCTATCCAGTTATCTGAGCATCATTTGATAAAAAAAGTTTTTTCCCCATTGAATTGTGGCAGCAACCTTGTTTAAAAAAATTCACCGTAACTGGCCAGGCGCGGTGGCTCAAGGCCTGTAATCCCAGCACTTTTGGAGGCTGAGGTGGGCAGATCACCTGAGGTCAGGAGTTCGAGACCAGCCTGGCCAACATGGTGAAAACCCATCTCTACTAAAAATACAAAAAAATTTAGCTGAGCATGGTGGCGGGTGCCTGTAATCCCAGCTACTCAGGAGGCTGAGGCAGAAGAATCACTTGAACCCAGGAGGTGGAGGTTGCAGTGAGCCGAGATCGCACCATTGCACTCCAACCTGGGCAACAAGAGTGAAACTCCATCTAAAAAGAAAAAAAAAATTCACCATAACTAGATGAGTATATTTCTGAAACTTCAAATGTATTCTATTGATCTATAAGCCTATCCTAATGCCACCACCACACCATCACTGTAGCTGTAAGTAGTAAGTTTTAAAATTGGAGAGGTTTAAGTACTCCAAACTTTTTTTTCAAGACTTCTTTAGAAATTCCAAGACTCTTTCATATCAATATAAAATTTAGTATCTGCTTGTCATTTTCATAGCTTGTCTTATCTATTTTATTTATGTTTAAAATATAATACTTGTATGCTTACTCCACTAAGGAAATATAATTTAATTTTTTGTTTGCAAATATTAACTATATTTAAAATGAAAATATGAGAGTAATTTATAATAATGCAAAATGGTAAAATATTGAAGGATTTACTTTTTAAAAAACAATATTAGATTTGAGAAACATTCTAGATGAAGGGTCACTAATAGTTGAAAGAATTGGGGGAATCAAAAATTATTGAAAAATGGAACTTATTATACGTTCAGGGAGAAAAGTCCTGATTTTTATATGCAGCTTTGGGAAGTGTGTGGTATGGATAAGCTGTTTCCAGATAAGTTACAATGCTGAAAAAATATGAAGCATGGAACAAAATGGCAGAATAGGAAGTTTAAGGTCTTACTCGACTACGGAAAGAAACAACAATAAAAATATCACAGGTTGTCTGAGCCAACCTTGTCAGAGCTCTGGAAAACAATCAAAGGTTCATAGCAACCACGAGAATACCTCAAGAAAAAAAAATCTTTAAAATGGTAGAAAAGTGTTGTGGTATTTTACTTGCCCTCATTCTAGTTACATGTTGGTCTTGATCTCGAATGACGGTAGCCCAGGATCCCCAGTTCTCTCCCTCGAACTGGAGGGAACAGAGCTAACTTTGCAAATTATTGTGTGTATCTGCTATAACTCTCCTGAGAGTCACCTAAAGGACTGACTTGCTCATCTTTGGCTCACATAACTCAAAATGCAGGTGGAAAATCGGGAAGAAACTGCTTGTTAAAGATATAAGGGGATTAAAAACTTAAAATCCTTGGGCAAGAGATTCCATGCGGAGACATAAATAGACCATCCAAAGCATGGAAAAAAAGCTTGGGTGAGACTCTGGAAAAGGTGGAAACAAACCAAATGTCCATCAACAGATGAATCAGTACACAAAATATGCCATATACATACAATATAATATTACCAGCCCTAGAAAGAAAGGACATTCTAACACATACTACAACATGGATGAACCTGGAGAAAATTATACTAATCGAAGTTAGCAAAACAAAAAAAAGGACAAATATTGTATGATTCCACTTATGAGATATATGAAATAGACTAATAGAGACATAAGTGTAATGGTGGTGGATAAGGGCTGAGGTGAAGGGGAAATAGTTATCATTTAATGGGTATGGAGTTTCTGTTTGGGATGATAAACAAATTCTAGGAATGGATAGTCATAATGGTTGTACAACATTGTGAATACACTTAATAATGAGGTACGCCATAAGAAATTATTCAGCAACCATATATTTACAGAAATATAGTAAAAAAGCATGGCATGCTTGTTAGCCACATCTTCGGTAAGGATTTCTGTTTTATATTTTGAGAATATCTCAAGTTATAAACATATATTCACCTATCTCTAAATTTATAGATATTTAGCCATATTTTCTAGGAAAAATAAATATAATTAATCAATAAATATAAGGGAGGGAAGAAAAGGTTAAATGGAGGAAGGGAGAGAGGGAGGGATATAGACAGTCAATTTTACAAAATTGACATCAAAAAACAGCTACATATATTCCAACACTGTAATCTAAATATATAAACTGCTATAAAATATGATGAAAGAAACAAAAGTGAAGGAAAGGCTACTGTTCTCTCACAACTTCAGCTCCCATAACATTCATGCATTGTCTTAAACATGAGCAAAGGTATTGTTGTTTGTCCTACATATTTGCCTAAATTCTCCCCCTAGGTAAATACGAATTCACAAAATGTGGTAAGGAGCCTATTTATTACTCTGTGTCTCCTCCCTTTACAACATAGAATACCATTAAATATAAGCCAAAGATGAGCTACAAATTGAAATCTTTTTAACACTATTGAATATGAAATTCTTACATACTTACCAATACTACAGCAGTAAACCAGCACTAGAATAACACAGTTTACTGCCATACAATATTAATGCTGTATTTTAAAGAAAAACAGAACACCAAGAAAAGATTTTGAAAGTCTGTTTTATTCTCTTCCCATGAGGTTTATTATTTTCATAATTTTGCCAAACTAGTAAAAACAATTTATCAATTAGCAGGGCTTGATCATAATATTCACAATAAAATAGTGGTTTTATGCAATCAAATCTAAAGAGAAGAGTTAAGTAGAAAGCTGCAGTATGCATGACAGTTCACAAAAAAGAAAAATACTCACCTTGAAGAAAAAAAGATCTCCACGTCAGAATAATTTAGTGCAAAAACACAAATAAACATTACTCCTTATCTTTCTTCAGCATATAGAAAAATAAGAAGTTTTGTTTTTCTCTCACATCAGGAAAAAAGGTAGAATTAAGATACAAAGAAAATCGTGTCTCAAATTTTCTGTTTAAAACAGCTCATTTCTAAGAGTAATTTGTGGAAATAAATTAGACAAAAACAGAGAAAGTTCAAAGGAAATGTGACTTTACTGTCTCAATTTTGCAAATGTTAATGATCTGTATAGACCATATATATTTACCTCTTAGATAAAACCTGTGGTTTATATTCTCCAGGCACATTTTAAAGCTGATAAAAGTTGTTTCCATAATGGCTTACATAAAATAGACAATATGAAAATAAAGTGTGTTTATAAATATAGGCCTAAATCCTTCTAGTCATATAAAAGTACATGGTTTGACTATAGGTCATTTAGTAGTTGTTTGAGCTGATAATCCTGAGCACTTGCAACCTTATAAGGGCCCCCTTTAGGATTTTCAATAAAACAATGAAAGAATGCAGAAATGAAGCTCAGGAAAATACGCATGTGCTGTCATTATAAAATGTGAATTAATAAGACATGAAAACAGAGTTTAAGAACAGATTCAATTGAACAAGAATTGAAAGAGCATCTTCTGTGCACCAGGAATTATGGTTACCTCTGAAAATATAGAGATACATAATATTTTCTCCTAATTTCAAGTTCACAGCTGTTAGGAGTGAGAAACATGTCACTGAAATGCATTAGAATATGTTATGACATTGTGATACGTGCAAAAATAGAAGTTTGTATCCAAGATACAAAGATAGCATGGAGGGGAGTCTTCCAGGATGAAGGCTGTCCCATGGGGAGATAGTCTTTCCTGGTGAATAATAAAGTTTCTAGAAATGTGACTATGTGTGGGAAGGGAGTGTGGGAGAGTGAAGAGAAAAGGTAAGTGTTGTCAGCAAACACTATGGTTTGCCCAAAGAAATACAGTGTAATACCATTGGTAATGTTATAGTGTAAAGTCGTGGGGAGGGAATGTCAGGAAATGAGAGAGAGGCCAGACTGGGCAAGCCCATGAGTTCATTTGTATGACAAATGAAAGTCTGGGACATTATCAAGTGAAAGGGAGGCAGTAAAGATTTAAAGAGAGAAACGTTATTAGAATTGTGATTCATAGAATGTCTGTTAAGTCCAGGAACGGAAGAGACTAAAGTGCTCAGGTTAGAGCAGGGAGAAGAAGTGAGTGGCAAATGCAACAGTCCAGTAGACATAAGGAAGTCCTTTATCAGGTAGTCCTATACATAAAAAAAAAGACAGACTATTAAAATTATTTTAGAAGAAAACAGAATAGGATTTAACTTTAACTTATACAGAGGTATATCAGGGAGAGGGAGAAATTCAGGCTTCAGAATTTGAAATGGGGGAGTTGATGCTATCAATGAAAAGAAAAGATATATCAATAAAATATAAGAGGGTGGTCTTTACTGGGTAGAATGTAAAAGCTTATGTTGGACCATACTGAGTTTTAGTTTCAGGAGGTCATCAAAATGCCAATGTCCAATGACAGTTGAATTTTAAAAAATCAGAATCTTCAAGGTAATTAAATTAAACAACATGGTGGTTTGGGAGGTATATAAGACATTATTAACCAATCATCTTTGTAGAAGTAAAATTAAATAGGAAAGAAATGATACTGGTCTCTTTTAGGATGAAGGGAGGGTTGCAAAATCAGATAGGGACACAAACAGGTGCTTCTGAGACTCTCAGATTGTTCTACTTCTTGACATGTAGCTTAGGCAGGTATTTTCTTTTTCTTTTCTTTTTTTTTTTTTTTTTTTTTTTGAGATGGAGTCTCACTCTGTCACCCAGGCTGGAGTGCAGTCGTGCAATCACGGCTCACTGCGACCTGCGACCTCCACCTCCCGTGTTCAAGTGATTCTTCTGCCTCAGGCTTCCCGGTAGCTGGAACTAGACACGCGCCACCACGCTCAGCTGTTTTTTTTTTTTTGTTTTTTTTTTTGTATTTTTAGTAGAGATGGGGTTTCACCATATTGGCCAGGCTGGTCTCGAACTCCTGGCCTCGTGATCCGCCCTCCTTGGCCTCCCAAAGTGTTGGGATTACAGGCGTGAGCCACCACGCCCGGCCAGGTATTTTCTTTATAGCTGTTTGTTACAATGTGTTTATGTTTTATGCATTTTTTCAGCTTGTGTATTCTGTTTGCCATGAAAAATGTTTTAAAGATGATGTTAGAATTATATTCTTTTATCTGGTTATTCATAGGCTGATGACGTTTATAATTTAGGAGTTTAATGAACTAGTTTTACTGTGAGATATGTAAACAATGTTTAATTGTACTTGCAAGCTTCCATATAATCTCTAGTGGTATAAATGTAATTTTGTTTGTTTGGAGTATAAAAACTAGTGGAGTCTGAAAAGTATTATAAAAGATATAAGAAAGAAAAGATTTGAAGTAATATATGGTATAATGGTGTCTTCACAACAGTTTTATTATAAAAGCAACTCAACACAAATATTTATTTAATGCTCAGATGTATAAAAATAGAAAGATAGTTGGACAGTTGGTCACTATATAGATAAAATGTGAGCCTATATTTACCGGAGATTCTTTCCAAGTAGAACTTGAATTCAACTAAGCCTCTAAAGATTAATTCCTAGTTATGGTAAAAAATACAAACTCAGTGACCTTAGAAGCAGTAAACATTTATGACAGGCTAATTATTAATAGTTTGTTCTTCACTATTATGAAGAAATCTAAATTTAAGGCAAAGTGTCTAAGTTTACATTTAAGTATAAAAGTGTGTATGGTTTAAGGCATAACAAAAGAAAATGGTGAGGAACGTAGGTATGAGGAAGAGTGCTACTCAGTGCTGTAATTTTATCAAAAAAAACTGTAGGATATAATTTAAAATCTAAGTACATGGTTTTTGCTTCGTCAGTATCTTAGATCTGATGTCGTAGAAAAACTCTGAATAAAAGATTTTCATGCAAGAGGTTAATTGGTAAGAACCCTAAAATTAAAACTTAAAGAGAAATAAATACAAAAATTAGCCGGGCGTGGTGCCGGGCACCTGTAATCCCAGCTACTCGGGAGGCTGAGGCAGGAGAATCGCTTGAACCCAGGAAGCGGAGGTTGCGGTGAGACAAGATCGCGCCATCGCACTCCAGTCTGGGCGACAGAGCGAGACTCTGTCTCAAAAAATAATAATAATAAAATAAAGAGAAATAAAGACAATAGGATTCGGTAGAGGGAGGAGTTCATCTGTGAATCTCTGATGCACTCACAACAAAGGATTCCACAGCAGGTGATTCCACAGGGAGTTCTGGAACCCAAATGGCCCTTCAGCGTTGTCCGTGAGGCAAAGGGGATGGGAAAAACCTATATATCCTTGTAGCGAACAGCCATTGGAGGAACTATTCTTAGAGAGAGAATTTAGCATTGAGTGAGATGGTTTTCTTAGTCTGAAAGATTCAGCTCTGAGCCATCAAGCAGCCAACTGAAGAACTACACTTCGGGTGTGAAGGAGATTCATCAGTATCCACCATAAGCAATGAAAGCTGATTCTCAGATTAAAAACAAACACTTAAATATCAAAGCAGACCAATGCATGACATTTTAAATATATTCTTAGGGGTAATAGGTGATATTTATTTTTTCCATATCTCAGGATTTGCTAATGTACTGAATACTGAAGTTATTTTTAGAGTATTGTATTTTCTGTGGTTTCAGGTATCACTATTTTCCAGTTATATTTGTAAGGGTCAAGCTCTTTTTTTTTTCTTATTAAAGGGACAGGAATACTATTAAATTGATGAAATAGCTAAATCCGAGAATGAGGCTAAGACTTTTGTGCCCTGTAATAACCTTCTTTATGGTAGATTTCTGATTCTTTGGCCTTTATTGACAGAAGAAAACACATTTTGTCAGCATGTCAGCCAAAGATAGCATTTACAGCTTCTAAATAATTAGGTATTGATTAATTTCACCAGGAATATATGGGCCATTTTTTTCAAACTTGCCCATTCTTAAAGATCATATGATTTCAACTAGAAAAATCACAAAACAGAACCTCAATTTCTAGTAGCTAGCTCTCATTGCCTATCCTACACAATTACATGTGTGAGCTGCAATTGCCCCCAGGAACACAGGGATGATAGCATCAGTTTGTTAAACTTCCTAGATTTTCATTCTTTGAGGTAGAAGAGAATTGCTAGCCTTTTCTTCTAAACTTTTTAGTTGCAAATGAATATACGCATTAAGAAGGCCCAAAATGCAATGATGATGTGACAGGCTATATATGACTAGATAAAAATAATAGCAGACCTTACATCCTAGCACTCTCAAATGAGAGATATAAATGTTTTTCAGCTAAAGATTTGTAAGGTCAGTGCCATGGTCTAGAGTTGATGTTAGCACATTGCTTGAGTAACAGCCTTTCAAGGGTCATGGAGTGTATTAGAGAAAAAAAATATGTTTTAGTTTCTGGTCATTTGGCTATTTCTACCTTGAAAGATACTAACAATCATTAATAAAGGCATTTTTGTGACAGATAAATATAGATATATATATGTAGTTATAGAAGTCTATGAATATACAAATAACAACTATTGCAAGATATAGACATAATAGACTCTTGGCTGGAAGAGCATCCAAAGTTTCTAGCCTTATTATACTTCCGATAATGTTTGGCATGTTAGTGGTTAAAATATTGGCTGAATCTTCAAAGATTTCTGTGTTCTGAAAAGATTAACACAGAACTGCTTCCTCTCCTCTGTGAAAATTGTAAACTCTAGCCTAAATTTATCTAAGCAGTAATCAGTTAAAAAGATGCTTCTAATCTCTCAACTCAGGAGACATAATTTTTCAGTAAAAATAATGTCATCAGAAGTATGTCAAGCAATTTTGAGGCATATAAAGTTAATAATCACTCCTTCTATATTTACGCGTCCTAAAGTGGGCAATGGGGACATATTTTTTCACTTTTTTATGTTAATATAAAAAAAGCTATCTATAGATAGATAAAATTACAGCTATAGATGAATAGATAGATAGATGGATAGACAGATAGATAGACACATAGAGTATGTAGGTAAGAAGAACTTAGAGATACATATGCATACTTCTTTCTTACTAAAAATATGCTCATCATATTACACTCTAACAAACATAGAGCCTTGCTAAAGGGTATAGAGCTAGTAGGCAGGTGAGTATACACCATTAACACTTACCTCAAAGCACTCAATTTAACAGGGTAGAGGGATTTATAAACAAATTTTTCCACATCATAATGAAGCATATCTAAAAGTTGGTCTAATAGAATTCATAAAATAATTGATCGAGAAAAAATAATTCTAGTATCAACAGCACTAATATTATCAGTGCTAACTTAAAATTTATGATACACACAATTGATTGATTGAGATATGGTCTTGCTCTGCCACCTAGGCTGGAGTGCAGTGGTGCAATTATAGCTCACCATAACCTCAAACTTTTGGGCTCAAGCAATCCTCCCATCTCAGCCTCTTGAGTAGGTGGAACTATAAGCACATGACACCATGTCTGGCTAATTGTTAATTTTTTGGTTGAGACAGGATGTATGTTACCCAGGCTGGTCTTGAACTCCTGGCCTCAAAAGATCTTCCCTTTGTGGCCTCCCAAAGTGCTGGGATTAGCAGCATGAGGCACCACACCTGTCCTGACACATGGGGATACTTTTTTTTTTTTTTTTAATGATAAGGCCTGAAAACAGGCAAGCCATACTAAGGCCTGAAAACAAGCAAGCCATACTACACACTATCATTTGCTAGCTCTAAAGGTAGGCTAGTTCTGTATGTCCAGCTGTGTTTTCCTTTTCTTCCTGGGTAATTGAAATACTTTTGTTAAATATGCCTTCATGCTTCTACTTATTAATAATGCTAATTTAAACAAAGCTGTAAAAAGAAGTAGTATTTTAGTATGCAGCCTAAATTATCTAGGAAAACTCAGTTTCTTTTAATGCGTGTGAGTGAATTCTGAGGATCATCAAATGTTAGAGTTCACAATTTATTTATTTATTTATTTACTTATTTAACAAATACTTGGAGTGCCTCTCATACCAGGCACTTTTCCATGCCTCAGGCTTCAGTAGTAAGCAAGTCTAGTGGGAGACAGAGACAATAAAAAAGATAAACAAATACATGATTTTGTACCTTAGAAGATAAGTGATAAGGAGAAAAATAAGCAGCGGGGTGGGATAGGGAGTTTTTGAGGCAATGGAATTTTAGAAAGGATGTTCAGGAAAGGCCTTCCTGAGAAGCTGATCTTGGACCAGGGGGCATTCACTCTGCAGGTATTTTGGGGGAGGCAAGAAGGGTAACGAGAAGTTCCACTTGTGGGAAGAAAAGACCAAATGCTCCATGAAAGGCGCTTTGGTTAGTGATTTATAGGAGCAGCTGTTATAAGACAGGATTAGAAGGTGTTCAGAACAAAGGATCATGCTTCTCTCTTTTCCCATATGGCTGTGAGGACTAATGGTATTGTACAGAGGACGATATGAAACTTAAGGGAGGGGACTTGATATGGCTAAGTCAGGTTTGAGGTCCACAGCACAAAATTGTACCAAGCAGTGTGCTTACTGTAGTCTTATTAGATATTACCCCAGAACATTAGCATGAATTTCTGGAGGTAGAGGAATGAAAAATTGAACCCGTCAAAGTACCCATATTTTCTGCTTGCCTATGCACAGCAGAACTTCTACTTATTTGTGACTCAATTGCTCAAAAAGTACGTTCCTAACTAATGAATTAGCCTGGGATAAATGATTGAGCTACACATTTATTATTTCCTTTATAATAATCCAATGGACAATATCAAAACTGCTAGTCAGTGTGCCTGTGGAAAAGCGCAGGAGCACCACTGCTCTGGTGTTATTCTAGAAAGGTATGATTCTAGAAAGCCCACCTCTCCACACTAACACAGCCCACATTTAGGGTTCCTGACTTGGCAAGTAGAACACAGTGTGGATTTCAATTATTCCGCCAAGCTAATTAGGCACCTTTGTTTGGAGTACAACCTGCTCCAATGTACCCGTCAGCACTGATCAGATTGATTGCAGAAGGCAAAACCAAGAGGAAAGCATATCTGGAGTATTACTTGCCATCTGTATCTCTAAATGGGTACACTGGGGAGAGGGGGTTATTTGTTCTCTCAGACTGAAGTGAATATTGTCAGAAACTGTCTAAGCTTTTTGCCCTTCCTTCCTTCTTTCCTTCTTTCCTTCTTTCCTTCTTTCCTTCCTGCCTGCCTGCCTTCCTTCCTTCCTTCCTTCCTTCCTTCCTTCCTTCCTCCCTTCCTTCTTTCCTTCCTTCCATTCTTTTGGGGGAGAGAGAGAGGTTCTGGATACGCTATTTGTCTTATCTCTGATTACAATTTTGAGTTTTCTTACATATGGAAGTTTTGTACATACTACAATTACGTGTTTTATCTGTATTAATAAATGGTCATTTCTTTGTTATCCAATGTTTAAAATACTTTATCTTTAGTTTAAATTCAGTATATAGTCATTGGATAGAAAACTAGTGAAATGCTAAACTTCAGTATAGATGTTTTTTTTATAAATACAGCATGCCCTAAATAGCACTACTGATGAGTAGTACAAGAAAGTTAAGGTACTGTTTGTGAATCATTTAATATTTTGCATTACTTAAACATTTTCAGAGTCAAAACTTGGAGGATTCCTCATATTTTCCTTGCTTTAAGTTTACCACTGCCTTTGAAACTTCACCTCATGTTTCATACTTATGAATTAAACAAGCGACCATTTCAATTTCTTTTGAAAAATGTATTGTGAGTTTGGAAATGCCTCTTTCTGATATTCTGTTGCATTAGTTGAGGGTGATAGAAATCTAATAAGGTACAAATGTGGAAAATAAGTGAAAATAACAAGTTCTAGATATATCATAGGGTATTTATTCACAAATACTGAAGGTGACATTGAACAGAGTCATATCATTCTGACACTAAATAATATTCTTCTCAATTGTCAAAACGCTAACTGTGTATTAAGTTAAACAATGTAAAATTATACTTTCCTGATATATTTCCTTTTATGTTTTTCCCAGTTAAATTGTTATAAATAAAGGGCCTGTAGGTACAATTATAGCAATTGTCACCAACTTCTATGACTAAATTCATTAAAATATATAGAAGTAAATTTGGTTAAAGGGTACTTTTTTTGAATTTACTTATCTAGTTTTATTGCTTTCTTGAGATTAATTTCAGTGTAGAGATAATTAGGTCAAAATTCCCACTAATTTCTAAATTTATTTTGTTCTCTGTGATTAACTGCTTTAATTGAAATTTCACAAATAATTACCAACTGGTGAATATCCTCTATTATACCGCCTACCATACACTATAGTTACATTCTTTGAAATTACCCTATTTTCTTCATAAACCACTTGGGTTTAGCCTTATTGTGTGAGCAGAAAGTGATTTAAAACTCAACATCATTGCAAGGAGAGACTGAAAACAAAAGAATGAGAACATGTCAAAGCTGAGCAGTCAAATCCAGAAGGACATGAACCCAGATGGGCTAGGTGGCAGACCACCCTCAAAACTGCATCACTGCAAGCAGCAGACACTTTTACCAGCTTTCAGACACGCCCCATACTGGATGGTCACCACCGCTGCCATGTTTCTACTCTTCTTTAGCAGCATTGCTGCATCCTTGCTGAAGGCAGCGTCTCAGCAGTAAACCTGGGATTGCATGAGCATGGGCAGAGTGATTTTGTTTGGGCATTTATCTTGTCGGGGAGGAGGAAAGATCTTTTCCCTCTTGTTTTTATGTGTGAGAAATAAACAACACACCTTTCCCCAGCTTGATGTCAGAATCAATGTAAATATAGACAAGATGGATCAGATATATTTCCCCACCTATGAAAGATCAGAGGCACTTGTTCCTGCATGGCACAGAGCAGAAAAATACATGTGCTCTTTACAAGTGGAAAGATTGTGAAGAGAGATTGGGGGACAAGGTAAGTTGTGCAGTCTCCTTAGCAAAATACCTGTCATTTATTTAAGACCCCCTAAATCCTTCCTCAGTTATTATTTTTGCATGTCAATTAATTAAACATACAATAGTCTTTGCTTAAAGGAGCCTATCTTGCCATTTAGCAATTTATTCAACTGTTTTCATATTTTCTTTTGATTGTAGTTTTTCATTTTTTTGATCCATACTCTAAAGTGTTAGGGCATTAAAAGAATGTCTCTATATGCACACATGGTTTTGGTGAATGGAGATCTTACATGACTCCTTTCAAGTCATTTAGCTGAATATTTCATTTTTCTTATAGTAAGTGTGGCTTCATGTATCTACTGAATAAACATTTATATAGTGCTTACTATGAGTCAGTCAAAATACATAAACACACTCCAAAATTAACCTATTTTATTCTTCAAACAACTTTGGGAGGTGGATGCTATTATTATTTTTATTTTTAGTTGAGAAACTGGTGTACAGAAGGCTAAGTGATGTCACGTAGGGAAAGGGAAGAGCGCTGGTAGGTTTAGGAACCAGATCAAAAAAGTGACCTAAGTCTGGAGTACAAATTTTCAAAAACTTTGCCATGGTGTCTAAAATCTGGTGAATTTTAATAGAGAGGATAATTGTGTTTTTTTTGTGTACTACTTTTCCATTCATATAAAATGCAATGCTCTGTTTCAGAAAGAGCTTTAACTTTCTTAGCTAAAATTCACCTAGAGGCTGAAAGCCTTCATTTTCTTTAGTGTAGTGAGTTAACTACAATTTTAAATTTAAATTTGGTTGGCTGAGGACTCAAAGTGACCCTTATCTGATATTTGTCATTCCTATTCCTCTTGCCCCTCAGCTGTGGCTAATCGATCCAAGCAGAGAAAACTGACCAAACCTGGATCAATGCGATTATCTTCTTTTGGGAATTTGAAAATTGAAAAGGACATGCTCAGAGTGAGAAGAGTTTGTCGGAGGTGAATTATTTCACACTAGAAACAGAGACAAAATGTTCATTATTTCCCCTGAGTTTCCAGGAATACTTTCCTTCTTTAATCCTATTTCATTCCATATTTAAGGAACTGGGGTGATTACAGTAAGTTAGAAATGCTGTAAATCTTAATTACTACCAAATTGGAAAATGAAATGCACTACCTTCTTGGAGAAACTACAGAGATTAATGCTAGCATCAAAAACTTAGCATACTTCTGTATGATATATTTCATTAAATTTCGGTTCCATTTTCCAACTTAACAATTATAAGACTTCTAGATTACAAGTGTTGATTTAAATTTAATCAAGTAGAGACTCTGATAGGAACTTTCTGTGGCAGTTTTAGTGTCCTTGCTGTAAAAAAGTTTACAATAAATAATATCTGCAATGCATTTTACCTTTCAAATGCATTTTTCTAGCATCTGATATACAAGGACTAGCAGAAGTAGTTCCTTTTGCCTGGTGAAAAAAACAAATTCTTGCCATCTGTTTTGGAATATCTCAACTCTGACTCCATGCCACAGCAACTTTGATTGCCTCAAAGGACATCATACTAGGCGACTACACAGGCAGACTTTATTGTATTGCACTTTCTTTTTTTGTGCTTTGCAGATACTGTGTTTTTTACAAAATAAAGATTTGAGCAAATCTATTGGCATAATTTTTTCCAACAGAATGTGCTTAATTTGCATATCTGTGTTACATTTTGGTAATTCTAGCAGTATTTCAGACATTTTCATTTTTATTATGTTTGCTATTGTGATCTATGATCAATGATCTTTGATGCTACTACTGTAATTGTTTTGAAGCACCACAAACCACGCCCATATAAAGCTGTAAACATAATCAATAAATGTGTGTGTTGTGACTGCTTCACCAAAAGGCCTGTTTCCTGTCTCTTTTTCTCATTTCTCCCTATTTCCTAAGACATGTCAATATTGAGATTAGGACAACTAATAACCTACAGGGGCCTCTACACATTCAAGTTGGAGGAAGAGTCACAAGTTGATTCTCACTTTCTCAAAAGCTAGAAATGATTAAGCTTAGTGAGGAATGCATGTCAAAAGCCAAGATAGGCCAAGAGTTAGGCTGGTTGCTTCACAGTTAGTCAAGTTCTGAATACAAAGGACAAGTTCTTGAAGAAAATTAAAAGTGCTACTGCAGTGAACACCTGAATGATAAGAAAGCAAAATAGTCTTTTCGCTGATACGGAGAAAGTTTTAGTGGTCTGGATAAAAGATCAATCCAGCAGCAACATTCCCTTAAGCCAAAGCCTAATCCAAGCAAGGCCCTAACTCTCTTCAGTCCTGTGAATGCTGAGAGAATTGGGGAAGCTGCAGAAGAAAAATTTGAGACTAGCAGAGGTTAGTTCACGAAGTTAAAGGAAAGAAGCCATCTCTATAACATAAAAGTGCAAGGTGAAGTAGCAAGTGCTGACATAGAAGCTGAAGAACATTATCTAGAAGACCTCGCTAAGATAATGAAGGTGGCTACATTAAACAACAGATTTTCAGTGTAGGTGAAACAGCCTTCTGTTGGAAATAGATGTTACCTAGGACTTTTTTTTTTTTGGGGGGGGGGGGTACAGAGTCTCTGTTGCCCAGACTGGAGTGCAGTGGCACTATCTCTGCTCACTGCAACCTCCGCCTCCGAGGTTCAAGCGATTCTCCTGTCTCAGCCTCCCAATCTCTGCTCACTGCAACCTCTGCTTCCCAGGTTCAAGCGATTCTCCTGTCTCAGCCTCCCAATCGCTGCTCACTGCAACCTCTGCTTCCCAGGTTCAAGCGATTCTCCTGTCTCAGCCTCCCAAGTGGCTGGAATTAAAGGTGTCGGCCACCACACCTAGTTAATTTTCGTATTTTTAATAGAGATGGGATTTTGCCATGTTGGACTGGCTGATCTTGAACTCCTGACCTCAGGTGATCCACCCCGCCTCAGCCTCCCAAAATGCTGGGATTACAGGCGTGAGCCACTGTGCCCGGCCCACCTAGGACTTTCACTGCTAGAAAAGAGAAGTCAATGTCTGGTTTCAAAGCTTCCAAGGACACGCAGACTCTCTTGCTAGGGGCTATTGCAGTTGGAGACTAAGTTGAAGCCAATGCTCATTTACCACTCTGAACATCCTGTGGCTCTTAAGAATATATTTTTGGCTATTCCTTCCTTTTAGAATGGAAATGTCTGTCACATGCCTGAACCACCACTGTGTCTTGAAAGTATATAACTTGTTTTGATTTCACAGGCACACAGATGAGACTTTGAACTTCGGACTTTTGAGTTGGTGCTGTAATGAGTTAAACCTCTGGGGCCATTGGAGTTGAAATGAGTGTATTTGTATGTGAAAAGGCATGAATTACGGGGGTCTGGAGCCACATACTATGACTGGAATATTTGTCCTCTACTAATCTCATGTTGAAATTTATTCCCAGATGTGGCACCTTTCCAAGGTGATTGGGTTATGAGGGCTCTGCTGTCATGAATGAATTAATGTATCTGTGATTTAATGGATTAATGGGTATAGAACTGGTGGCTTTATAAAAAGAGGAAGACAGACCTAAGCTAGCACTGTCATCCCCCCTACCATGTGATGTTCTGTGCTACCTCAGGACTCTGCAGAGTCCCCACCAGGAAGAAGGCCCTCCCGAGAGGTGGCCTCTTAAACTTGTACTTCTCGTTCTCCGTAACTGTAAGAAATAAATTACTTTTCTTTATAAATTTCCCAGTTTCAGGTATTCTGTTATAAGCAACAGAAAACAGACTAAGACACATAATAAAACTTTGGTGGGTGAGGAATTGCTTCTTATAGATGAGCAAAGTGGTTTCTTGAGATGGAATTTACTCCTTGTGAAGATGCCGTGAACATTGTTAAAATGACAACAAAGGATTTAGAATAAACCTAGTTGATAAAACATCACCAGGGTTTAAGAAGATTGACTCCCAGTTTTGAAAGAAGTTGTACTGTGGGTAAAATGCTATCAAACAGTTTCATATGCTACAGAGAAATTATTTGTGAAATGAAGAGGCAATTAATGTGGCAATCTTCTGTTGTCTTATTTTAAGAAATTGCCACAATTACTCCAACCTTCAGCAACCACCACTCTTATCAGTCAGCAGTCATCAACATGAAGGTAAGACCCTCCACCAGCAAAACAATTATGACACAGTGATGGCTCAAATGATCATTAGCATTTTTTAGCAATAAAGTATTTTAAATTAAGGTGTGTACATTTTTAGGCATAATGCTACTACACACTTTATAAACTACAGTATAGTGTAAACATAATTTTTATATGCAGTGAGAAACCAAAAATTTTGTGTATCTCACTTTATGGCAATATTTGCTTTATTATGGTAGTCTGAAACCAAACCTGAAATATCTCCAAGGTATGCTTGTATTGACAACATTTTGCTGAGAACACCTGGAGAGAAGAAAGCAACATTTACCTTTACATGACTTAAAAAGAGAGATGTATGAGAGAATGGTACGAAATAAAATTCATTGAGGTGTACAGCATTCCAGGAGGAAAAATATGACTTGGTAATAATAGACGCTTTTCTATCGCCTGCATCCCCCGCCATTAAGAAGGAAAATTATTTGGCAGGCTGCTTCAAATTCGGGAGTCACACTTTATACACTTAGATATTCTCATCCATGATTTTCCAAGGTAACTCTAATAGCAGCTATATTTTCATGGGACACAAAATAGAAGAGTCTTCAGCTGGTACAGTTCATGGTTTAAGTGTCTCTGACAGTGGCTATTATGACCAGGAGAAACCAATGGAATTTAAAATTTCTGCAGCAGATATGAGGACTTTATAAAGGCAAATTTCAACAGGAGACTAGGATGAGAGGTCTCTGGATTTTGATGCAAAGCTAAAAGACATCTAAGTCCAGTAAATAACTATTCTTCCTTTAAGAAGTTGGTATCACTTTGCTGCTAGGCTCTAGTGAAGATAACATGACTATCAGTAGAAACTCAAATAACCACACAACCTGCGTTTCACCTCCATTACTGGTCTGTCTCATCCACTTCATCGTATCATTGTACATTCTCAAAAGCCCAACCTCTAGTATAATATTAAATTTCGTTTGTGGCCCGATTAGGTCTGGAATGCACAGTTGTGTTGCATGAACCAGTTTTTCACCCTAGCCATGTGCCATCTTTTGCCAAATTGCTAATCTTGTTTCAACTCTTACTGTAGCCTTGAAAAGAGTTTCCTATTATTATTTGACACAAGATGAAAAACACAGGCCTGATTTCAATGCTATTGTGTCATACGGGAAAGTCTTCATGAAATATTTCAGCATCACAGGCTCTCTTAGGTTTGATCCTGAATGGAAGCAGAAGATGGAAATCCTTCATGTGTAGAACTCAGAGCAGAACACTTTATTAATTTAGTCTGGAAAGAGAGACCAGCTGATACTACACTGATTCTCAAAGACAGATTAATAGTTTGGGGTGGTCGGGGATTTAGGGAAAAACAAGAACAGAATTCATGAATAGACTTCTTTGAATGGGCAAATTATCTAAGGAGGTTTTCATGAAATAGTCAAGAAAACCTGCTTTACAGAAAGAGTCAGCCTCCTTCACCAGACAGTTCAGTGTTTCCTAAAAAGCCTCAATGTGGCCTTGATGGCAAGATAAAAGCTAAGAAAATGTCAATGCAGTTACAGAATTCTTATTACCAAAGCTAACAAAGACTGGTTGGTTCCAGTAAACAACGTGTATTATGGAGCAGATAGTAATTTGTCATTGTCTGGATTTTTCTCTTACCCACCATGCTTAAATCTACAGCATCTTCCATTTATTCAAATTAACATATTCATATATAATATATATTATATGATTTAGAAAACAGTTGTTCTTGGAGAATCATAGAATTATCAACTGAAGATCTAGGAAATGAAATCTTTGAGTTACTGGGGAACTCCAAATTGCTTGTAATGTTCCTAATCAGCAAATAACATATGGTGCCTGTATTAGGCCATTCTCACATTGCTATAAAGAAATACATGAGACTGGGTAATTTATAAGAAAAACAGTTTAATTGGCCCATGATTTTGCAGTCTTTGTAGGAAGCATAGCTCTGACAGCTTCTGGGGAGATCTTAAGAAGCTTACAATCATGGTGGAAGGTGAAGTGGCGGCAGGCATGTCACATGGTGGGAGCAGGAGCAAGAGGGTGAGGGGGATGTGTCACACCCTTTCAAATGACCAGATCTCATAAGAAATCACGCACCATAATGAGGGCAGCACCAAGAGGATGGTACTTAAGCATTCATGAGAAATCCGTCCCCAGGATCCAATTCCTGGCATGCCCCATCTCCAACATGGGTGATTACATTTCAACATGGGATTTTGGTGTGGACATAAATCTAAACTATATAACTGTCATTTCTCATATCATGTGATTTCATGAGTCTAGGAATTAAGGAGTAGAACTGGAGGTGACTTTTTTAATACTAACCTAATTATACACTACAAACTGGTTTGATTTCTATCCCCAAAATTAATTATAATTGTTAAGAAATATTATTACCTGTTAGAGAAATACTGTCACCAAGAGAAACAATAATGGTCAGAGAATTGGAAATTTCGATTACCCCCTAAAAATGATAAGCTTATCTTGCATTGAGTTTGAAGGGGCTAGATTATTTCAGAATACTCCTTAAAAGATTTTTTTTGTATGAAAATCTTCCTTTTTTTCAAGAGAATAAATTTTGTTGGAGAGTAAAAACTTGATATCATCTTTAACAATGGTCATTAAAATTATGCTTTCAAAAAGTTTAGGTATTTTACCTATTTGGCAAATATGTTTTAAATGTGCAATGTGTACTCAATACTATTGATGATCAAAGAGTTCATCAATGAAAATATAAGCAAATTTACTTGCCCTCACAGAGTTTTAGGTTCTAGCAGGTATGTGACATAAGAAAATACGAATCAGATAATATTCAATAAAAACAGGGAAAACATAAAACAACTGTACATGGAATTTGATTTTACTTTAACCTACTGAATATATCCTCCTTACACAAATATTTGAAAAAATACATTGAGATACTAATAGCATTTAAATCTAGGTGATGCCTTATAGGTACTTTCAATTTCCTCTTTTATATTTAATTGTCTTTTCCAAATTTTTTAAACAAGAGTATCTTTGGAATTAGAGACAAAAAAACCTGATTTTCAATCAAAAACAATGAATAATAAAATTCATAACAAAACAATGTAGGGTAGACAATAAAGCCTGTGCTTGTCTTCCTGCACTAGATGATAGACCCCATGAAGGCAGAGTTTGTTCAACTAGCTCTGTACCTTCAGCACCTAAACAGTACCTGACACACAGTGGGCTCTCAATATGTATTTTTTAAATGAATCAATCTGCAACTCGTTTCAATTTCATGAGTTAAATAGTCCCTTCAAATAACTTTATCCCTTATGGTAAATTATCTGGCATTTTTGTTCCTTCTCCTTGTTGTGCATAATTATGAATTCTGGCCCTCTCTCTTCTACTTCTGCCCTCCTTTCTGTCTAATAATCCCCAGGCCAAGAAAGAATAGGCTTAGGCAAATAATTATAATAGTTGAGCCTCCTTTTATTCTTAGATACTTATAGGACAATAAGAACAGATAAAGCGGTTCTGAAGACTATAGTATGTATACTCAGGTGCTGTATCATTGAATCATTTTCAGTATGACATGAACTTCACTGGCCTTTTACAATCAGGATTAGAAGTAGTGCCACAGTGCATAACATTGAGGGCATAAGGGTATCATTAGAATAAGTTTTACTGCTATTTTATCAGTCATCCAATCATAAAATCTCTACTCACTATCTTTAAGCTATTTACAAATGTCAATCTCACTGTCTAGGGAACAGCTTGTTATGAAGTATTCACTGTAACTGTCACATTTAACTGCCAATGACAGTAAAATGAAAGTCTGTCTTAATTACTGTCTTGTTTCATTTCTCATTTGCCATGCCTCTTTCTAGGAAAGTAAATTATACAGTGTCCAATCTCAGAAGATTATTTAAAACATAAGGTGATTATTGAGAATTCAGGGAAACATCTGAATATTTTGATATTAGTAATATGAGTTAAGGTTGGAAAATGAAAAGTATGTATTCACTGAGGGCTAAGTACTGAATATTAATTTGATTCAAATACTATTGGTGAATGTCTAATGATATTAAAAGGAAAACAATTTGAAGAAAAATTGAAACATAAAGGAAATTCAGATTCTAGAAGAAAAAAATTATCATACAATTTACTTAATTGCCAAGGATCTAAATAGGCCAAAATTTATTTCTGGATGCCTACAAATATTAAAGCTTTTTCATGAAAATGGTACGAAAACAGCTAATATTATTAAAGTATATAAAACAGTCTTCACATAATCAAAAGAAGAGGCATATGAAAGAGATAAATAACATCTAGTCACCTAGAATTATTTTTTCAACCATAACTTTGCCAGCAATATGCGTTAATTATTACATGATCTATCCTTTGTGTGGAGCTCGAGTTTAATTTCTTTCATTGAAATTCATATTTTATAGGACTCCCAAACTTCAGGAATGCTGATAAAGGTCAATGCCAAATACATAAGTGGGTTTCCATGCTGGAGGAGGTAGCTTTTAGAGGCAAAGTTAAGGGGATTATAAATAGAACAGCTCAATTATCTTAGTTTGCTTTGAACATTTTCTCTGAGAGCTCCCCAGAAGCTCTTCTTTTTGCCTTTTCCTGGAAATCTACCTATTGGATGGTTCTGGAGACTGTCTCCCTCAAGTAGAACCCTCTCTCACATCCTTGCACAGATTAATAGAATTACAAAAAGATCTACGTAAAATAAAAAACAGATTCCTTCCTCCCTTTTGATGAAACTTTGTGCATGCATTGGGGTGGAGTAGAGACATATTTTGGCCTTTTTAACCTTAACACTGTTGAAGTAGTAAGATCCAGAGTACTGTAATAAGCATATGAACCTATGAAAAAGAGGCCAATATAATTAATTTGCCTTGCCTTTCATTATGTAAAAAGGGTCACAAAATTCTTTTGAGATGAAAAGATGGATTGGTCCAATCCTCTTTACAAGGAGACGATAATAGAGTGATTTAAAACTAGCAACTATCTAGTACTGAATAATTTATCCCTTAGGATCCTATGGCAATAAAAGTCAACACTTTAAAATTTGATGATTCATGATCTTTGTCATAAGAACTGTCTTTTCTTGTTTGTAGAAAGTAGTTTTCAACAAATAGTAGATAAGGAATAATAACTACAAAAAATGGTAATAGACCATGTGAGAACTTCGGATGATTTAGCAAATTAAGGTATGGTAATATTTAATATTTATGTTTGCTCGCATAAAATTTGATACTTTTGAATATTTTATTTTACTCATAATATGGACAAGGAAACAGACAGAACTCATTGTATTTGGCGATATGGCAATAAGGCTTTAAGCATAAACAAAGTTCAGGTTATATGTAACTCCTTTAGAATTCTAATTTTAAATTTGTCTTAACTTATGGGAATTTGTTACCTAATTCATTGGACACACTTGTGTTGATGAGAGGTAATGCTTTAAAATAGATAAGGTAAGGATTTAGAAGTCAAGAAAACCTAGGTTTAAATTTCAGGTCCAATATTTTTAATGTGTGTTACTTTTTAGAACACATTTAGAACTTTCCTTAATATTTCTTACTGTCTTCCATTTTCTTCTTCCCGTGAATTTGTATCCGTACTGTGAATCTCTTTTTCTGTCTTCCAAATAACCATGCCCTCTTCTAACGCTTGTAATTAAAAATTCCAGTCTAAGCATCATCTGCCTGAACTGCTTACCAGTATTGTACTCCAATATTTCTTATTCTACCTCACCCATCTGATATGACTTGGCTGTGTCCCTCCCCCTGCCCCGCGAAATCTCACCTTGAATTGTAATAATCCCCACATGTCAAGGGTAAGATCAGGTGGAGATAATTGAATCATGAAGGCAGTTTCCTCCATACTGTTCTCGTGGTAGTGAATAAGTCTCAGGAGATCTGATGGTTTTATAAGTGGGAGTTCCCCTGCACAAGCTCTCTTGCCTGCCAACACGTCAGTCACCACTTTGTTCATTCTTTGTCTCCTGCCATGATTGTGAGGCCTCCTCAGCCGTATGGAATTGTGAGTCTATTAAACCTTTTTCATTTATAAATTACCCAGTCTCGGGTATGTCTTTATTAGCAGCATGAGAACGGACTAATACACCATCTATTGACTCATTTCTGATGAAAATGAATATCAGGCAGTGGAAAGTAGTAAATGATCAAAAGCAAGACATAAACTCTATCCTCAATCCCTCCCCCCAAAAAAGATTCTAAAGCTGAAAAAAAATCTTGATATTCCAAAAGTAAGTACTTTAAATATTTCTACAGTAGTAGGAAACAACCAAAAAATGCAATGTACTATGTATATAGTAAGGCGTTTAACTTGAATGTGGTCTCAACTAAGTGTGAATGTTACAGTAGAAGGAAGAATATAAGCTTCATTTTGAACAGATGCAATATGAACTTACAATAAGATTTTCTAGTGAAATAACCTCTAGCTCTCTCACTGGACTGGAGATAAAGGCTTGGAGCCTGTAATTGAGGTCTACTGGCACAAAACTAAAAAGTGAAATAAGTCAAGGTGAAGTCACAAAAGAAAGAAGTTTAGAGCAGATAGGACCTAGTGCATATTTAGGAGGTGAGAGAAGGATGAATATTATGCAACGGTGAAGTCTTAGGAAAATGCATTTATTGTCCAGAATACATTGTAGGATAATAGTCCTATTGCATTTGGACTTTACAGTGTGCCTATGAAATTTTTAGTAATAAAAACCAGTGATTAAACATATAATAAAAGGAGTTACGGCCATAGAATGCAAGGAAGCAAAAATTACTATTTTTATGTTACTCTTTATAGAAGATTTGTTTGCACTCTCATAGGGAATAGTCAATCTTGTTATTTGGTTGTATAAATGAAATATGGCTTTAATCTCTTTCCTTAATATTGATTTGTAGAGAATATATTTCTCATTGCCCTTTATATTTTTTAAAAATAGGATTTGGGATATAAAAACCAATAATGTTGTTACTTGTTATAACAATTGTAAGAGAAAATTAATTCAAGATTAATAGTGGTATTCAAAGAGGGTTGGGGTTGTATAAAAATAATGGTTTATTGATTTATTTTGATTTAACTACATAAAATAGCCACCCTAAATCTTTAGTTCAAATGAATACATTAGTTTTTGTTTTTCTCCACTGTGTGTGGAATTTTTAATATATATTTAAGTTTAAAAGAATAAAACTAGAAGATATAGAAATATATATTTTCTTCCATATTCTAGTATTTTATTATTTGATTTACTCATTTGTCATGCTATTTATTTTCTAATGCCATAAATGATGACTTTTGATTGGTTCCCAAATTCCTACTGTACCTAAAGCTATTCTTTTCTAAGCCAGTCTTAACCTCCACTTAACCTCCAGCTAAGACATAACACTTATGTATTTACCTTAATTGTCTTACATTTTTGTTCCTTGGCATAGCATCATCTGTCAACCATAATTCTTCTTTAGTGAAATATCACAAATAGCACATTACATTTTCTACCTTCCCATTCTCTATCCAACCTCAAAATGAAGTCATAAAAATCTAACTTCATTTTTCTTGCAAAAGTTGTATAGATACAATCAATAAGTGGAGAGTTTGTTGAAAACCATTATTACTTAGAAAAACTTGCTCTAAAAGTTCAGTACATCATGTACTTGTCAGAATCTTCTCAGTTTAAAAGGCTCTAATTTGACCCAATATTTTTTCATGATTTTTGCCTTTTGTTTAGAAAATTATCAGTTTTACTAATAATCTTATCTTTAACTTTATATTGTACCTGATATTCTCATAGTAATGAAAACAGCCAACCTACAAATAAGTCATATTTGAATAATAGCTAACATGTGTGAGAGCTTACTATGTGGCAGGCACTTCTGTAAGGACAGGGTCTCACTATGTTGCCCTGGTTGGTCTCAAACTCCTGGGCTCAAGCCATCCTCCCACCTTGGCCTTCCAAAGTGCAAGGATTACAGGCATAATCACTGCACCCGGCCTAAACTGCTTTTTTAAAATAAAAATTATATAAGGTATAAATACCCTGAGCATTAATAGGATAAATGGAAATATACTTATTTTATGATGGATTTAATAACTAGGAATTTGTGGTAGACCCTGAGACTTTTATATTTGGAACTAGAAATAACGAACCAAAGAGATAGAGAGTCAAAGGTTTGCAGGCACCAGAGAAACAAAAGAGTTATGGGAAGGAAGGCTGGAGGTATCAGAGAGGCTATTATTAGTTACTGATTGCCATGTTATAATTCCACAAATTTATCTTAGACTATTGATTACACAATACAATATATTGTCAAATGGAACTGTCTTTTTTCAGTTTTACGAGGATAATACTTTATTAATTCATCTAAATCAATCTAGCACATAGCAGACACTCAATAAACTGTCAAAGCATGGCAGGCAAGTGACATCAATGGTTTCTCAAAAAATTGATCATGAGTTGAAATTCAGGATAATACCACCTTAGAAGAACCTATGTAAAAAAATTCAGATTATCTTGATAGTGAACCAAGAAATTGATTCTGACACAGTACTAGTAACTGTGGCCTCCTTCATTGATTAAGTGCTTACTAGGAAAGACATAACTTAAACACTTAACATATATTTCTCATTCTACATTTAGCTAGCCAATGACTTTGAGATTCTAACTAGCAAAATAAAACTTACAAGATATTTACCAGGCTCTCACAATTAGTCATGCAGAGCTGTTTGTCAAGCCCAACTCTGTCTCATGGAAAAGTTCCTTCTATTATTAAGATTTCATGAGGAAGAAAGACTGGGTTTTGACATAGAACAGCAAAGTAAGTAAATACTTTTAGAAGCTGTAGTGAAAACTACTTACAAAATGAACCAGGAAATACTAGGAATTAACTTTCTATTGATCAGGTTAACTACAGATCCAGTACCTTTTGTAGTCTCTCTATGTAAAAATAACTTTAACCCCATGTTCTAGAGTGGTATTAAGTAGGTCATCCTCATGAAATATTTTTATTTTCCATATAATCAAGAAAAAATAATTTACCTAGAATACACTTGGCTGGTGTCAACCCAAGTGCTCTTGAAAAAAAAACACATATGTATTTTTGAAAGAAAAAAAAAATCATTTGGCTACACTGAAACTAAGTTTATTCCTACCTAATCATTATTCTGCTTTATCTTATTTGATCATTATTGGAAAGGATGTTATAAATTACACAATAATTTTACGGTAATTGACCTATATTTCAAATGCCAATCCATGTGTTAGCATTGTCTTCCATTTATCCTTGAGAAATGGGCAAAGCAAAGTTATTCCTTCATCTTATACAACATTTCCACGTGTTAGAGGAAATATCACTAAGAAAATAATAGTATGAAGGCAACACCTACGTTGCCAGTTCCTATAGAGACGTCAGATGTGCCCTTATATAATTTTGAAGAGTGGAATAATTACACGGACTTGAAGGTTTGCAATGTAAATTAACCTAGATAGTGAATAGTCTAGTTTCTTGAGTTAGAAAAAACAATAAAACCAGCATATATTTTATGGACTAATAATGTTTTTAAAAAGAACTTATTTCAATAGTACTAATATAGAGAAAAGATTGAATTTCAAAATGTAATTTCTTCAACTGAATCTGAATTTTATTAGATAACATCTATTGTTAGAATAAAACAATAGTTGCTACCCATAATCCTTGAGCAGTAAGTAGCTCTTTCCACATTAGAAATGAATACAAAAGGAAGAAAGGGAGAAGTGTCTCAAAACCAGTATATATTTTTTAAATTGTCAGACCATCTGGAATTTTGCAACAAGGAATCTTTTCACTGCGTATTATCTTATGTTTGACTCTAATTTTCTTTGCAATGTTAATCAAAAAACATTGACCACAGTCTCTCTTTATTCTCAGTACACTTTGATCTTCTTCTCATCTTAAAATATTTTGTCAATAAAACTGAATGTTTCTTCTTAAACATTAACTAATTCATTATGAAATTTAGAAATATCTAATTACTTACACTCTACACATCTACATATACATACTTAGTCAATGTTTGCACTTACAGTAAATTATGCTAAAATTAGTAGGAAAACACATTTTCAACATTGAATTTCTTATAACAACTTATGATACATACATAAGTGTCACCAAAATTTATACATTAAATTTTTCTGGTTCACTATGTTGATCCAGCCAAGAACTCAGTAGGAATGCATCAGACAAATTTTACTGTTCCCCATAATGAAGTCCCAAAACATCTTTTCACTTTCTGTTGTCTTAAAGACAGTAGATATAGGCTATATCCACTAATCTTATTCCTCTCTGTTTTCATTCACTTGATTAATATGAACTGAGTTTCTTCCAAGTTGAATACCTTGTTTTAGGTTCTATGTATAATATGGCTTTTGTTCTCAAAAAATGCACGAACTATTTTTAAAGAAGTGACCAACACATTTTGCATAGCCATATTCCTCCTGACAGAAAACAAACAACCACTCATATCACCAGAAAATGTTAAGCATTCTAAAGTGCTGTACAAAGCCCACGGCATCAGTTATCTTTTGCTGCCATAACAAATTACTACAGATTTAATGGTTTAAAACAAGACATAGTTATTGTTATGTTTCCATCTTACTTTTCTTTTCAGAAGCTTGTCACAATCCCCTCAGAAGAGCACTCCCTCTGAGAAAGATTAGTGACTCATCAGTGTGTAGATTTGATATCAGCAATTTAATGCCATTTATTGTGTGAAGTTTTGAGCAAGACAATGGCAGAGTGAGATTTGAATAAAATTTGAGAAAATCTGCGAGAAAGAGAAAAGAAAACCAGACTCTGATAGCCACAAGCTGATGAATAACTAGGGCTCCATTTGTGCTGCAAGCCCTCCTCCCAACTAGACAAAGATCTTATCCTGTTGAATAGAAACAATTTCACAAAACGTCACCAGACAAGGTTATTCTCTGACTATGATGGAACAAGACAAAAAAAGAAGACTACACAGACAAACAATTCATTGTCCAAACCACAAACAAATCTGAACAATGTCTTGCCTAAAATGCGTGACTGTTTCTTGATTAACAACTGCCGTTTTAGCTTCACTCAATTACCATCACTTTCTAGACAAGAGTGAAGATAATCATAGAACTATCCTTGCCACTTAATGCCATCCAATGCAACGCAAATCCCTGCTTCCTTGAATTGTGCCTAGAATCGAGATACACAAGCCCCATCCCTAGAATATTCTTACCAAGTCATTTTATGTGTGCCCATAGCAGGCATAACACCTTGTAAGGAGTCCAAAACCCAACATTGTTCTACTATAAGTTCTTTGCTAGTGATTTTGCCTGTAGAACACCAATTTCTGCCATTTACTATTACCTAGTTATGCAAAATTTTGATACTCTTTAGAACCATAAGATCACGAGCATGAAGAATAAATTTATGACATGGAGTACTTCTGGATAAAATGCATAGATATATTTCTCCATCGTTTTCAGTTTGAGAGAGATGATAAGTAGATAAATGATAGATGATTGAGATAGATAGATAGATAGATAGATAGATAGATAGATAGATAGATAGATAGATAGATGATAGATAGGTAGAAATATAGTGTTAGAAAATATACTACCACCAAAATTATTTTGTTAACAATTTTGACTATGTAAACTAACAGTATTTAGCATTGGGCCCTGGAAAATCCCTATGTTTTATAGCATTCACCACCACAATTTTTCATCATGAGTTTTTCTGCACTATCTGTATCTTAATTGTGTTTTTATTTTCATGTGTTGGGTGACTTCAATTAAGCTTTCTTAGCATACTTATTTGTTGGCCTTTGATAATATAATGAATTCACTTGCCTGGAAATATATTCCGACTTCATATTGCACTAATCAAAATGACATTGTTTTGCTTAGATTAATGGCTGGCATTCAAAATATGCCATCAGTGAAGGATATTTTGGGTTTTATGTGGTGCTGAGGTGCTGTGGAGAAAGACAACTTAATTTTATCTGTAGATTTCCCAAGCACTAAGATCCCACCCTCAACCTGTTTATCTAGTAACCACTAAGGTTTATAAGTTAAGGACTAGAAATATTTGAGCCTTTTCATTAAAATGATTTCATTTTGTATAACGTAGAATAATATATATAATAGTTTTTCTGTGTTAACAAACAATAAAAAGAGAGTAAACAATATTAAAATACTGTGTTTGTTTTACAGGAAAACATTAATAATGAGAGATGGGGAAAGAAAATGCATGAATGTTCAAGATAATTAGATGGTAGAAAGGGCATATTCGAGGACATAGTTAGGCTATTTCCCTTCCCTCTCATCAAGAATTATGAGCTTTTAGAGGGCAGGGTCAAGGTTTCTCACCTTCAAATAGCATGGTGCATTTATTTTAGAAAGTGGATGCGGGAAACAGAATGAACTGCAAAATCCCAAAGGTAAAAGAAAAAATTATATTTTTCTATTTTAAAATGATGTTTTTCTATGTCTTAATCGATATTAAAATTCAATTATTACCATTAAATAACAATGATTGCATCTGTAGTCCTTTTTACTAAAATTAAAGATTACTGAGTTTATATGAATTCCTAGTTATAACATCTGCATATTTATGTTTGCTTTTCTATCTCTCTCCCTTTAAATATAGACAATAAGTACTCTGACTAACAAGTTAAGGATTGTCACAGTGAGAAAGAGAAGTAAATTTATTTTTCAAGAAATGGAAATTGCGGCTGAATTCTGGAATGGAAAATTGATCTTTCCAGTACTATATTGAATATGTTACAATTGGGTGACATTTTTGCAATTAATCGATGATCTATGGGCTTTAGCATCCTCATTTATAAAATGGGAATAAAAATAGTGTAGCTTTTAATGTTGGACACAATGGGAAAATATAATGTTAGTTATAGCATTATAGGACATAGAAACACACTTAGCTAACATTTTAACAAAAGCTTTTTCAATTTTGTATTTTTTCTACTAAAAATTTTACATATTTCAAATACTTCCTTATAACAAGTGATTATAAATTTGCATTGATATATTTTTCAATACAACCATGAGTAGACTTTTTATAGTAAAAAAATAAATTCACATAGGAGAGGTTTTAAAAAGCTGTGCATTAGCCATTCTGCTGTGCGTTACCCCTTCTCAATGTCTGTTAGCATACATGTTGCTCCAGAGTGAGATGTGAGTTGTTCCCACATTAGCAGAAAATTAGATATATTTATATATTAACAATTATTAATTTAAAGATTTAAATGGGTCATTCTTTTCTCATGGGGGGAAGAGAAGGAGTCAAGTAGACTGTGAAATTTATACAGGACATAAAAATAATTTTATGAATGTGAAATACAAGATTAATTGCTCTCAGAGACCTCAGAATTGAGGAGAGTTAAAATTTGAATGAGGAACATGTATCATTTCCTAATGTTCTTTGGAGAGAGAATAATCTAGCCTTACTCAGCTTTCATTTTATCAGGCATTTTAAAAAAGAACATATGAAATACTAAGTAGAAAAATATTCATGGTTCAGATGTGGCTTTCCCATAACAGTTTAAGAAGAGAATAAATCCCTCTCTGCTGAGGAGTAGATGTGTGGGGAAACTGCAGCTATAAGGAACTGGTAGAGGTTATCGAGGTTATCTAGATCTAAATCCTTAGAAGTATATGTTCTCACATTAAATCATTTTCTGAAAAAATAAATATAAATTAATAGATAAAATATTTAAGCTTGTTCTTCTAATATCCAGGAGCATAAAAAAATTTGTTTAGCGAAACAAATATTATGCAGAGAATTCCTAAGATTTTTGGTAAACATGTGGGCATTTACTGAAAAAAATAGACATGGTTATATACAAAAGTGATGTTTTGTTTCTTTTGTGTAAGTCTAGCTATAGTAATACTCCGTGTATATTCCAAATTAAAAACTGGGCATCCAAGAATAATTTACTTTAGGTAAACTTAATAAGCCTAACATACATATGTCAAGACTTCTATAAAATAAAAATAAGATTGTGGAAACTAATCACACTAACATGGCATGATCGATTAAAATTAAGACCCTGTAGGATATTACATTTAATATGGAAAAAAACGCAATTTTGTGGGAAGAGAGTCTTTTATATGTTACCATCACTGAATAAATCATTGAATATTTAAAACTGTTTCATTTACTTTTCTTTTTTATAAAATTGTTGTATTGTTTTATAATGGGAAAACTTGCTATTTTCTTGAACAACACATATTTTCTATCAAGATTAAAGTGGCATTTTTAATATTTTTCACTCTACTAATCTTTTGAAGCATGAAATATAAAAATATAAAAGTGAATGTATATATATAATAGATAATATAGTTAAATAAACTATATTGTCCAAAAATATTATCTTGAGAATTGAGAGAGAAAATATTTGAGAAAAATGTATTCTTTAACATTTACTAAATGTTTATTTATTTTCATGTTTCTTGGTAGAACAGGCTTCCAGAAATATTGATACTACTAAGTTTTATAAAAATAATTGAGAGGTAACTGTTAAATCCTGGGATCCTGTTATCCATGTCATGTAATGTATACAGTTTATAAATCAGCAAAATGTATACCAAAGTTTTGGGGCAACATTTTTCTAAATGACAAGATCTTAGATATTTAAATATTAACTATGTTATATTCCTGTAAAAAAAAAAAAGAGAGAGAGATCAAAATGCCAACACAATTATTTATAGATTCTATTCTGCATCCATAAGTAAACCTTGTCAACTATGGGGTTTATCATGGGGGTAACCTGGCTCAGCTTTGTCACTGGGGACATAAACATCTCATTATTTTTAGGTATTTCTCATAGGCTATTCAAATTTCCAGAGAGGGCTGGGCGCGGTGGCTCACGCCTGTAATCCCAGCACTTTGGGAGGCCGAGGTGGGTGGATCACCTGAGGTTAGCAGTTCGAGACCAGCTTGGCCAACATGGTGAAACCTCATCTCTACTAAAAATACAAAAATTAGCTGGGTGTGGTGGTGCCTGCCTGTAATCCCAGCTACTTGGGAGACTGAGGAAAGATAATTGCTTCAACCTGGGAGGTGGATGATGCAGTGAGCTGAGATCGTGCTACTGCATTCCAGCCTGGGTGATCTAGTGAGATTCCGTCTAAGAAAAAAAAGAATTCCAGAGAGGTCTCTTCCACTTTCCTGGCTGGAGAGTGTAACTCTAGCTGCCAGCATTCTGTAAACCCAAAGGGGAAAATGATGAGGAATATCAAGCCTTAGACATACATTCTCATTCATTCTCACTTAATACACCTGATTTTAGTACAGTATCCTTATATTTAATGGTATTTGGTTTTTTCCTATATTAGCAATCCTACCTTTATCTTTTTCTACAGTGATTCTGCACTTTGTTCAAACAAAAATTAGTGGAGAGCCATTTAGTTTAAACTATAAAATCTACATTTAACAAGTGTACTAAGCAATGTTACATACAAGAGACTTATACTTTCAATTCAAAGACAGTTTAAATATATAAAAAAGCAATATTGCAGATATGTATTTTAAAAGCATTGTAATGGGTCAAGAAATATGTCGCAATGCTCCCTTTAGTTAGGATTCAGGCAGAGGACTCCCATCTTCTTAGTGCTAGGCCCAGCAGTATGTCTCAATGCCTTCTAAGGGCAGAGCCAAAACAAAAGAAGTAATAGTATTACATTAATAGTAAATTTGGGAGACATTCTCATTAAAGTGGGAATAAAAAGTTGCCCATTATTATTCTTACGGTCAATATTATGGTGAGGTTTGGTCATTACAGTAAAACATGAAATAAAATGCTGTTTGTGAAAAAAGATGTTGCTTGGTCGTAGAAACATAAAAAGGCAAATAAAATTAGTTTATATCTAAGCGCTGCCATGGGCTACAGAATCTTATCCATTCATGTGCAATATTGAAAATTTTAACGTAAAGGAAATCCCTGATATGGAGATGAATCTAGCAATTAGAATCAACAACTGTAAATATTTTATTCCATTGAATGATTGAGTCATCTAGCTACCCCAGTTCTAATTCCATGCTCACTACATAACTTTTGCCTCCCATAAAGGTGCAACTATATAGATAAATTATGCTACTAGTATAGACTTTAAACATGTCTCTTAATATAGACTTAAACATATCTAGTTAATGTGGTAATACATTTTCAAAGAAAAGTCATCATGTAACTTCTGCTTATGATTGGCATTCTCAAGTAAAGAGACAAAAGGAGGAAATTCACTAATCATATAAAACTTACTGATATTCATCCATGTGACAGTGATATTACTCATTATGTGTTAATTAATTTGTCCTCTGTTATCTATTTCTATTTGTGTGAACTTTAGCCACTCTGAGTCCATTCTTGTGTCCTGGTTACCATGGGTAGTGCCAAAAGTAACCCTTTTTGCCTTCCAAGAAGACCCCACTTCCAGTCAGATTTCATTCTACATTTGCAAATACAACCGAGATATACTTATTACTACAACTTATATTAAAGTATGTTTTCTATATGCACAACTTTTTCTCCTGCTCTTATCATATTGAAAATATAAACTGCACTGACTTATTTTCCACAGACTAAACAGTAAGAAGATTTTCTCTACAGTGTGGCAGCTTAATAACTTACGTATATAACTTACTACATCCTCAAAAATTTATAGTTAACAAGTATATGGTATAAGTTTACCATGCTCTGAAGGGTTATCAAGAAACACATGAGAGCAAAGTATTTGGTTTCAGTGAATGTAAACTTCGGTTGGGAAATAAAATGTTCTATTATTATATAACATATACAAGTAGAGGATGTTATATAAAAGAATTAAGAAGAGTTAAAGAAGTTTTCCTGGAATATTGAGGAACTAAGAGTTGAAGTGATATATATTAGTTGGTTACATGACAGGCAGAATGGAGAACATTCCAGCAAAGAATATGAGGAAAAACAAAAGTTCAGAAATAAAAAAATGAGCATAATGGTGGAGACAGGAAGGCAACTGGACTTCTGTATTACATAGTGTAGAATGTTGCTAATCAATAATGGGATATAGTTGCATACATTAGTTATAAACAAATTAAGAGGCAGAGTACATTGGGCTTCCTCTTGAGATAAAACTGCTTGTCCTTCAGCATGAAAGTGATGCAATGAAAGTAATGTATAATCAATATTAATCTAGCAGCAGTGTGAAGATCAGGTTAGGAAGAGATTGAAATCAAGTTATTGAAGAACAAGGTAAGGAAATACCTGGATAAGATGGGCATCTTTTGTCCTGTATGGAGCCTCAGAATCCATTAACTCAACATTTGCTTTGCTGTATAGCTGGAATTCACTGTTTTAAAATTGAACCCTGGCCTGGTGCGGTGGTTCATCCCTGTAATCCCAGCAATTTGGGAGGTCAAGGCAGGTGAATTGCTTGAGCTCAAGAGTTGGAGACCAGCCTGGGCAACATGGTGAAACCCATCTCTACCAAAAAAAAAAAAAAAAAGCAAAAATTAGCTGGCCATGGTGGTGCATGCCTGTAGTCTCAGCTACTCTAGAGGCTGAGGTGGAAGGATTGCTTGAACCCAGGATGGGGAAGTTGCAGTGAGCCTAGATCACACCACTGTACTTTAGCCTGAGTAACCGACCCTGTCTCAAAAACAACAATGAAGTCATCTGGTTCAAGCCAACTCGAAACTGCTGAATTGAGGGACTTGTAAAAAGAATTCAGTTCTCTGGCCCCAAGTTAATACAGAAGTTATCACAGAAAAGACTCTATCTACTGAGTTATCAAATACAAATTATAAAAGACTCACTATAATTCTTAATGTTTGTGAGATAGTATAGCACAAAAGTCAATCATTAAATATAATTATGTAATTAAAAAAGAAAATATTTAATTTACCCAGGAAAAAAACCCTAAAAATAAAGATATAAAGACATCCTTCTGTGGGAGTTTGGTTTCAGGACTCCTTGTAGATATCAAAATTCATGGATGGTCAAGTTTCTTATATAAAATGAGGAGTGTAACCTATGCACATCCTCCTGTATACACTAGCTCATGTCTAGATTACTTATAATACCTAGATTACTTATACCTTCACATAGAATTTACAATGGAAATAGAATTTACAATAGTAAATTTCTATTGTAAATTCTATGTAATTTGTAAATTGAATTGTAAATTCAATGTAAACTCTATATAAATAGTTGTTATGATATATTTCTTAGAAAATAGTGACAAGAAAAATTTCTGTTTGTTTTAAGTACAGACATTTTTTCCCAAATATTTTCCATCCACAATTGGTTGACTCTATAGATACAGAACCCATAGATATGGAGGGTCGACTGTTTAATTGTATTGCAGAAGATGGCACCCTAAAATAAGTTGACTTTAGTGAAAAAAAAGTGAAGGTTTAGAGCTTTTTAAAAAGTTTCTAAGGCTGTAAATCATAAATCTGGAATGCAGATGCCAGATTCCAGATGGTTCATGTAAATGACTGCACAGAATATGTTTGGTGCCTGGAGTCTAGGTTTCTGAGCTGTCAGGATAAGTGTATTTCTACAGCATTCTTCATCACTTCAGTGTTTAGTTTTTAAAAGAGGAGCTATTTTTTTCTCCCTTACAAACAATACTTTAAAAATGAAGGCACATGTTCCATTACACTGATATGTGTTCTCATGAAAAAACATATTTCGAATTAATAGGCTCATCTCACTTTATTGTAGATATTTTCAGAATTGTACATTGTTCCCATTAGATAGTAATGATAGAATAATAGGTTGCATTTTTATAACAGTTGTCATGTGACAAGCATGCTTCTAAATGCTTTTTTTACATGAACTAATGTAATACAACAACCCTAAGAAAGTAGGTGCCACCGTTACTCTTTTCCAGAATAAGAAACTGAGAAACAGATTATTCAACTCTAATGCCACACAATGAGTAGTTATTAGAATAGAAATAAAAACCCAAAACGCCACAAAAGGACTAGTTATTAGAAATAAAAACACAAGCAGTTTGAGTTTAAAGTTTGCATTCTTAACCACCATGCTGCTATTTTGAGTGCTAAGAAATGTGTATGTTCACTGCTTAGCATCTAGCAGCATGCCTGACCTGAGTTAGGCACTCAGTAAATATGTATTGAGTAAATGTAGTAAACAGCAAACATAAATTTTTAATCCTTTTGAATCTTTATTACTGATATTATCATTCATGATATTAATAGATTTCAAAAATCCTATGTAACAGAATATTAAAGAAAAAGTTAAATATATCATCCTGAATCTCTTTATGATGCTGCTGAAAACTATTAACAATTTATTTTTAAATTTTCTTTTGTGATTAATTTTATAATTTTCAATAATAAACTCAAGCCCTAGCTTCATCACCTTGAAGAATCTATCTAAATATATATATATAACATGCATATATATATTCATCATCTTAAAGAATCTATCTAAATATATATTTATCTATATAAATATGTATAGATCATATAAATACTTACCTATAATAAACTATCTAAATACATATGTATTTATCTAATATATAAATATAAGTATATATTTATTTATCTAAATATATATATTTATACAATCTAAATCTAAAATATATATTTAGATAAATATGCTAGACAGATTCTTTTACATTTAGATAGATTCTTTAAGATGAATATATACATATATTCATATTTTATATATATATATATTTATATGGCTCGTATCAAGGTTAGCTTGCCTAAGCTTTCATTATCTCTTAGCTTTTTCTGTTCCTTTGGGGGCCAATCCAAGCTTCCATTGCTCCTATGACCCCATGTTTTCTAATTCTTGGGTTATTTTTTTCTCTATGCTTTATCAAACAGTCTTGTACAGTTTTCATGAGGTAGAGTGGGGGCACTGGTAAATGTCCTAATTATGTGAATGTCTGAAAGTGTATTTATTTACGATCACTCTTGATTTATAAGATAATAATAACATGTTCATAAGAACTTTCCACATGAAACTTTGAAGGCATTGCTTTTGAACTCTAGCATTCAGTGTTGCTCATGACAGGTTGCTTCAATTATGATTCTGTTCATGTTGATGTTAACCGTTTCTCTGGAAGATTTTAGGGTGTTCTTTACATCACAGTATGTCAAGAATGTCAACCCTATACTTAAAAATATTTGTTATTTTTCTCTTCATTGTTTATTCTTCTACTCTGAAATTACTATTGTCCAGAGATTGAGCTCCTGAATCTATGCCATATATAAACAGTAGGTCCCTTCTTATCTGTGGTTTTGTTTTCCATGGTTTTGATCACCTGAAGTCAACCATGGTCCAAAAATATTAAATTGAAAATTCTAGAATTTACCAATCCATACGTTTTAAATGGCATGTCTTTGTGAGTAGCATAAGGAAATCTCGCATCACCCCGGCCATCCACTCAGGATGGGATGAAGAACTTTATCATGATCCACTTCCACTTAATGAATAGTAAATATATTTTCTCTTCCTTATGACTTTCCTAATAACACTTTCTATTCTCTAGCTTATATTATTGAAAGAAGACAGTACATAATACATATAACATTAAACGTATGTGTTAATAGACAGTTCATGTTACCTATAAGGCTTATGATCAATAATTGTAGGCTAATAATAGGTATGTTTTTGAAGAGTCAAAACCTATATGTAAATTTATGACTGTGCGGTGGGTTGATACTCCTAACTTTTGAGTTGCTCAGGGGTTAGCTGTGTACTAGCTACCGGCTCATTAGTCACTTAGTTGCTGTCTTGGTTATGAAACCCATAATGCCATGCTTGCATTCAATTAACCCTCATTTTACTTCATAATGAACTCAAAGCATAAAAGTAGTGATGCTGGAATTTTGTTATAATTGTCTTATTTTATTATTAATTCTCATTAATCTCTTAATACACCTAACTTATTACTTAAACTTTATAGGTATAGGTATGCATGTATAGGAAAAAAAAACATAGTATGTACAGAGTTCAATACTATCTTCATTTTCAGGCATCCACTGGCAGTCTTTAAACATATCCGTGTAGATAAGAGGGGGCTACTCCGTGTGTGTGTGTGTGTGTGTGTGTGTGTGTGTGTGTGTGTGTGTGTGTGGTGAGATCTTTAGTCTTCACTCAGAATTCCTTTATTCCTTTGACTTTATTTTCTGGACTTCCAGCTTAACTGTATTTTTTGGTCCCTCCACATAATTATATTTAGCAAATAATTTTAATTTTCAATGACACTTTTTCTTTAATTGTTCCTTTTGGTTTGCAGCGCTTTCCTACTCTAGATTAAAATAGCCTCTCAAATAATAAGAATATTAAAGTTTTATTTTAAGTTTTCTCTTCCTTATTGAATTATTCATATTTCCTCTGTGGAGACTTCTGTTAGTTCATCTTGTCCTGTTTCATATTAGTGATCCTGATCATCCATTTACATATTAGCTTTTAATGATAACAGCTGACTTGTATTTTTTTCCATAGTTCAGCAGATCTGTTCTCGAACAACTGTTGAATGGAGGATTGATGTTCATTTTTACTCTGGGGCATGTAGACAGAAAACCGTTGGACAGTTTGAATACCTGTGTAACATCCAGGGTGAAAAGCTCCTTAATTTGGGATTCAAGTTGCTTAGTATCTTTCCATCTTGAATAAAGTTGCCTTTTCTTTCCTTTTCTCCCCTCCCTTTCTATTGGGAGGATACAGGATTACCTCTAAATGTGCTTAAATTGCCTTTCTGATCCCACTGAAAGGGCAAACGCCCGGGTAGACTATTTACTTATTTTAGAGAGAAGTTTAAGTGCTATTATAATAAAGAGGGGAAGCTCTTGCTAGTAATGGAGCTAAATATAATAAGAATGTAGGGAATTAACTGGTTCACCTGTTTTCATTGCAGTGTTAAATTAATGGCAATGATGCTGTTCTGATGACTTATTCTTACACTTTGTATTTATTGCCTGTAAACTGGATCTTTTGAAGAGCTGCCTGGAAAAGAACCAATTAGTTTTAGAGTTAGTGTTTGTTTCCTATGGAGATCTCAGCCTAGGTAATTTTGTTTGCTTTATCCCCCAAAAGAAATCATCCAAACATTTAGTCTTATGATACATCCTTTTTTCCACCCAGGAATCTTTAGCTTATTTAAGTGTAATTTGCAATTATATAAACAGGATCCTGACAGGTGGTATAGGATGATTAGAGGACAGGCAAATAGTCTCAAACTGTCACCTTGAACTTGAATTCAACTACATATCTCACTTAAATCAAGGTAAAAGTATTTGTACAGTTCTCAATGTATATCAGTGCTATCTAGAATTGTTCCCCTTTTCAACTCTATTATCTGTTGTTCTGAATAAGACTAGTAGATTAATGGCAGTTGACCCTGAAACCTGAATCATCATACCTAGAAGTTGTGCAATACATATGGCATAACTTGGAATAAAGATTAGTCATACTTTTTAATACATTACAAGCATATATAAAAAGAATAAATGATAGCTTCGTAATGTTTAATCGTATGTCTATATATGATAGCAATTATTTTTGAAGATTAAAGAGAGAAAGCAATGTAAAGTTGTAGTAGTGGCTTGAAGCCATAATATTCACTTGTTGTAAACTTTGGAGGTCATTTGCACTATCTAAGTCTGTGATCTATGCATTCAATAAAGAAGAGCATTTAATTTAGTTTCACAAATTAAAGAAAATAAAATAATGGATGCTAACAGCAAGCAATTTGCATACATATAACAATTATAAACCAAATACATAGGGAGGTATTAATTCCAATACAGATTTTTATGCCTGAAGTCTCAAAGACAAAGAAAAAGAAAAATAATAATAATTAAGATTCTAGTAATATCATCTTTTGGCTGAAGATAAATTTTCAGCCTACTCACAGGAACAAACCCTATCAACATTATTGGTAGTTTAAAATATCACTGCTAGTGGTGGTAGGAAGAAGATCGTCTAATATTACCAAAAATAGTCATGAAAAATAAATAGCTTTCAAATGTGTGTACACAGCTAGACTTATAACAAGAAATAAATTTAGTTTAAAATACTCAAATTTCAAGAATAAATATATTCTTTGTACTTGTGCTATATTAAAAACATCTGGAAGAATATTGATTTATTTATCTTAAATAAAATATGGTCATTTTTCCAAACTTTCCTAACAGTCTCCATATTTCACAATTTCAAAATCAAAGTGAGTATAATGTTTTATTTATTAAAATAAATTTTACTTTTGGGGTGAATGGGGTAAATTCGGACTGCTATAACAAGAATACAATGGATTGGGTGGCTTGAAAAACAGAAATTTATTTTCGTAATTCTAGAAGCCAGAAAGAAAATACAAGATTCTTCAACCACAAGCAAACACCAAACCACAAGAAAGGACAAAGATGCATTAAACGTGTCTTTTTCATTCACTCATAGACAACAAAAAAGCAATTGAGGAAAACAAATCAACAGAGGGAAAGGAAACATGAACTCTACAATTCTGTTCTTTAATTCCAGGATACTCAATACACAGGTCTTAAGGAAGTTCTAAACAATATTTTCAATTTAATACTGAATTTTCTTTCATTATGTAACATAACCAGAGATCTATGGATATTGGTTAAAGGAAAATGTTCAATGCATGTCTCTTATTCAAAATTGCTCTGACATATTTGATTATCATGAATATCAAGTTTTCATTTCTTTGGCTTCATAGTTTTTTTCTATTTCAACTTCCATATCCAGAACACAGTTATTTCTCACATTTATTTTACAAATATGCATTGGGCACTGCGTATTAAGTACTGAAAAAGAAGATAGTGCAGTTCTTTCCCTCAAGGAGATTACACCTTTCTGGAAAACTTCACTGCTGTCATTCCACAACCACGATGGGTAGTGGAATGTCGCCATGAATGGTATTTGGTTTTATTAAATTTCAAGGGATGGTGATGATCAGAATACCTATGAAACTGGTGATATATTGCCTATTCTGTAAATGGAAGTTTAGACATGATGGAAGTCTGTGACAAACAATGCTTATGGAAACTGGAATATGATTTAGAAAAATGGACTCTCATCTCTAACTCCTGAGTTATTTCATTGACCACTTAGCAGTGTAAATGCTCTTGTCCCTGTTCTAGTAATCTACTTTTAGCACAACTCAGATATGCCCACGGTCTTTCTCTTTTTTTCTTCCCTCATTTTCTACTTCGAGACCACTGGTCAGTTTTGTGTTTATCTTGTTCAAGCTCCTGAGAGAGAATCTAAATGGATCAGTAAATTAATAGCATTCCTCTTGTTACACACATTTGTGATTGTACTCGCGTGGGCTATGTGATCTTTTCTGGTCCATTAAGCTGTAGTCAGTATGTTAGGATCCCCTAGCAAGGATGTATTTGCAGGAAATTCCTTAGAATCATAATGAGATGTGAAAAAATTATTATCTCAACTGGCCCAGGATCCTGAGAGAGGAGAGTTCGGGTTCCCAGAGCCACAGTCAATCCCACACTTTCCAAGAGTTAAATTTAACCATGTAATACTGTTACATGGGTAAATTTTCATAAAGTTTATGAAAGTGAACTAATCAGTTTTTATGCATTTACTTAAAATCTTCTATTTTCTTCTCTAAGCATATATTTCTCTACTTGGTTTACATCACCCCTGAAATCTATCAAGACCCCCTGGAAAGTGTCCATTGTACTAGTCAAGCATTTATCTAATATACCCTAAAGGCTTTCTTGGCATTTTCATTTATTAGCTCCCACCAACCTTTAAGTAATTTTTGAGCTGTTACAAATGGGGGAATAGGAAAAGAGATCTTCAGTCAACACTACTTACACAACAGAATAAACCTTGGATAACTATCTCTTGTATCACATTAAAAATACCATGTTATAGGTTTAACTATGTTCTCTGAAAAAGTATACTCTAAAAATATATTTAAACAAAAAGGAATCTCTTAATGATTTGTTATTTAAATCTGAGTAGAATTTGTAATACAATCTGTTTTCCACTAAAGGACAAAATGATTACTGAGAATTTTTTTTCCTCCTTCAAATTGCATATTTTACTGTTAGTTGTGTTTTCCTCCTTCAAATTGCATTTCTCCAGATATTTAAATTCTTTGGTTAAGAAGTGATATGATTTGGCTGTGTCCCCACCCAAATCTCATCTTGAATTCCACATGTTATGTTGTGGGAGGGACCCGGTGGGAGGTAACTGAATTATGGGGGTGGGTCTTCCTTTGCTGTTTTTGTGATAGTGAATGAGTCTCATGAGATCTGATGGTTTTAAAAACAGGAGTTTCCGTGCACAAGCTCTATCTATGCCTGCTGCCATCGATGTAAGACGTGACTTACTCCTCCTTGCCTTCCGCCATGATTGTGAGGCCTCACAATTAAACCCTTTTTCCTATATAAATTACCAAGTCTCTGGTATGTCTTTATCAGCATCATGGAAAACAGACTAATACAAAAAGTCTTTGTCTTGGAACTGAAAACAGATATTGTGAAATAGCAATGAAGAAAAATCCTAATATAAACATTCCAATGGCAGTTTGTATTAACCAAAATCAAGTTAATGACAAAAATCCATATCCAAAGGAGTCCTATGCAAACTAACATATTAAGATAAACAGGTGGCGTATCTATTATGTGAAAATTACTGTGGCAAAAATTATTTAGGTAGAAAATAAGACAGAGTCACAGTGATAGTGAGAAACATATTTTATAACTATGCAAAATACTTTTAGATTAAGTTTAAATTTGTTACTGAAATTTATTACTATATATCAAATTTTTCAGTTTGATCTTTAATTTGTTGCTATTTCAAAAAGTGTATCTACATCTGTCGAAAGCTGGTGGTCAATATGTCACCACAACTGTAAGTGTCAGTGCTATCTAATCTAAGGGATAATTGATTTTATAATAATCTAAAGTCAATTTAGTCTGAATGTCTTATATCTCAGAATAAAAATCAACATATTTTAAAGGGTCTTACTTTGAATTTAGGCTAAATATGTAAGATGGTATTTAATATATCTTCTAGCAATCAAATTTTAAAAATGTTTGAAAATTGTTTTTAACAGTCATTTAGATTATAAATACGTATCATGCAAATGCTGATAATTTCTTATTTATAGTTTTCTGCATTTCATTTTCCTTTCAAAGTTACAAGATAATTCTTTGAGCCTGATGAAAATGTTGTTCCCTCACCCCAGAGAAATGCAAATCAGCATGCCCTCTCAAAATTTTGCATATAGTTGAAGGGGGAGAGCATGTAGTAAACTATTAGAAGTATATGCAGACCCATCAACACTAAGTTAAATATTTCTGTCCTATAACTTAATAATTTAAGAATACAACTCTCCAGCCTCCAAAGCAATTTTTTTTATTAATTCAACGCTCACTGAACACAAGTGAATTGCTTAACTTTGTATCAGCTAAGATGGTAATAACAGAAAATCCAACTCAGATTCACTTAAGAAAGTGAAACTGAAGATCAGTAGGGCAGACTGTATGCAAAATCAGATCCAAGACATCTAACGATGTTACCAGAATTATTTCTCTTCACATATGAAACCCTTTTCTTTTAGGTAGACTCCATTTTTGTGCAAACACTCTTAGCACAGTAAAAGATAGCTTTTTATATTATGTATATTATAACGTACATTATATACTCTCAGGTTCCATTTTAATTCTAGAGGAAATAGTGTAATTATGTCTCCTAGAAGTCACAACAATATCTCAATGCACTCCTTGGCTCTGATTACATAACAAATTGTTGTGGTTATATTCTGATTTTCCCAAATCTGTGTACCCATACTTGCTCCTTCATGTCTTCAGGCTTAGGGATCAAGCTAATTTATTAGAAACATAAGAGAGAAGAACATAAATACCCACAGGTAATCTGAGCTATGATTTTCAAAGGAAAAGGTGAATAGAGAGGGAAAGTGAAAAACTAACAGATGTACTCAAACCTACTTTGTTCCATTTACGCCCTTAATGACAAAAGCAAGTAAAATCCCAGACCTCAAGGAGGTCTCTGGCTTATGCAATGAAATATCCATAGCTTATAAACAGTACAAACAGACAAATACCTAAGGTACAACTCCATTAATTTTCATATCATGGCATAATTTCTGAAGCTACCCGACTGGTGACCCTGTTCTCCAGTCTAACTATCTCTACATATTTCTACTGTCAAATCTTCATTATAAAAACAAATCTAGTCATGTTGCTTAAAAATAAAACTCTTCCAATCACTATTAACTATTTAAATTAACATTATATTTTAAGTATATAATTAGTACTAATGTGACATAACCACTTTATAATTTTTAACCAAGGTTATTCTAGAATTAAGTCTATTTAAGGGTCTCTCTCATCTATCCTTTTATTTAAACATTTGTAGTTTTTATTGATTTTAAATTTAAAACAAAATCTAGTATGAATCACAAAATTCAGTTTGAACCACACTTGGTAATATAATGTCTTTAATATTTTTCTAAAGCTATTATTCTATGTAATAATAAAACAGAATTAATAGCCTAGCATAATGTGAAGTTTTTATTCCAGTGGTTTTTCATATATTTGTCCTTCTTATGAAGGACATATTGATTATTTTAATTTAACAACATCTAATAGAACTGTACAAAACAAAAATATATTTTTATATGATTTGTCATACTTGTCATTATGAATGTGTTTTAAAATGCAACTCTGTAAGTGTCTGGGTAAAGAAGCAAGCTGTCCTCCTCCACCATTATAGTGAGTTTGCAAGGCTTTGCCATTGTAAGCAAGAAAAGCAGATTGCATTGGGTTTTTTTGTTTGTTTTTTTTTTCCAAAAACCACTTATATTTACTACTTAGTCTCACTAGATTATTGGTATATAGAGAACTCACATTCTGATCAACTTGATTTTTTTGTGTGTATTTTTAGATCTAAAAGTTAACTTCCCTACTGCTCCTAATACTAGTGGGCCAATCCTAATTTATTATTCCACTCTCATTGCTGTAGAAAGGTATTGGTCTTGATGAAAATCAGCCCTCTGCCTCACCTGCTACTGCCACAAAAAGGGACTGGAAAGGTTCTTGCTGACTAATTTACTGTTCCCTTTGAACAAGAAACAGGGCACAGGGAGGGGAGGACTTAACTGTTGAGAGATTTTGCATGTATCTTAGATGTGTGCCCTATAACATTACACTGTCTCCAATTTCATCTTTCAGTCAAATCGCTCTGACACTATAAGTAAAAGTTCAGGTATTCTTAACTCTATACCATCAAACATGAAGCTTTTCTTGTTACAATAGTTAATCTTTCTTTGGATTAAAAAAAAAGTTTCCCTTAAAGAAATAAAACTGTCTACCTAACCTGATTGCTAAATTTCTGGCTTATATGTTTTAAGCATGACCCAAAGAGTCATTCAGGATTCTGTAGCAACTACTGTTTGCTTATAAACAAAAAAGTAAGAAAGAGATTACTAACTCTCTAGATAGATTTAAGGATGAATCACTGATATTTCCAAATCAAATTATCATTCTAAACACGTAACAAATATATTTTTACATTCAGGATTAACATGTCTTTAAAAGCTATCCCCAACCTTATAGTGTTTTTTTGTTCACACTTTTCTGTTTTAGTAATAGGAAAATTCTTATAGTTCTGTGAATATATCATGCCACTCCACAATTACATGCTTTTCACATACTATTCTTTTCACTGAGAGTGTTTCTGTAACTTATCTTTGAGACTTCCATTTTGCCATCCCAAAACAAACCCACAATACTCATTAACACTTTTTCTTTGGTTCTTTCCTCAGAATCCCTTAAATATTTCTCCTTTTATGCTCACCTCTCCCCAAAAAACATATTGATGCTTGCCCCTTCTAAATGTCCTTACCTCTCTTCTGACAGATCTTAATGTTATTGACAGGAATCTTCAGTAATTACTGTCCATGGGATTTTATGTTCTTAAGCCATGAATTCCACATACTATGGAAAAACTTTGTCTTTCTAGAAGCCTCAACCACTGAGTCGTTTTACTCCCTTATTTATAGCAATATTTTTCCCCCTTTTAACTCCTAGCATGTGTTTTGGTGACACAGGGACCTATGCTTAAATTACAATCCTTTCTTTATTATCTATGTGGTATGCACAACTTTTCTAAGCCTATTTCCTTTTCTCTACCATGGAAAAATTATATTTGCTAATTTACAAGATTATTGTAGTATTTATATTTTTTATATGAAATACTATTTGTGAAAATGTCATGTAAGTAATAGCGGACCATTCAATATTAGTTTTCTTTTTCTCCACATACCTATGTGCATCAATTTCTTGCCAATCACCTTATACACTTCCATGAGCAACCGCTTATATATTTATGGTCATTCAGTCACTTTATTCTAGTAAATCGTGATCGTTTTACTTCTCATCTTATAGAGTTTATGTTTTATTTTCTGAAGTAACTATAACTCATTTTCTCAGATGCTGTATTCCATGATTTTTAGCCACTTGATGAGTGAAGCTCAAAAGAAAATGAGCTAATATTTGTGCAGATCCAATGGTCATAGTGATGAAACACTATGATGTTATTTTAAACTGTACAGCCCAAACATGGAGCAATGTTTTCTCACTTTATTGCATGAATGTCTTATTGCATAGGTAGTAGAGAGTATGTGTATGAGAATGTGGAGACTTTTTTAAAGAAAAAGAATAAACAAACTAAGATTTTTGCATACTTACTACATGTCTAAACCAGGCACTTGATGAAATATATCAAATTTAGTCACCATGAATATATCATTATAGAATATAGATAAGGAAAATGAAATGTAGAGTATAAAGGTGTACATAAGGAAAAGGCAAACAACCAGTAATTTTTAGAGCATGTCTTTAAATCCAGCCTGTTTGACTCCAGAGACTACATTCTTAATCACTCTGCTATAATGTTTTCTGTAGTGACAATCGTGTTAACAAGCATCCTTAAAAAAAGACACAAATGACATGTCTCATAATAGAATCTCATAATGGAGTAAAAAATAATCAACCAACTCTTGGGCTTTGGGCAGGTACTGTACCCTAGGGCAAGGAGATGCTCAGGAAAGCCGAGAGGCAAGCAGGAGCTGGCCCAGAACACATGAAGAAAGGACAGGAGTACTAATTTTTTTTAAATTATACTTTAAGTTTTAGGGTACATGTGCACAACGTGCAGGTTTGTTACATATGTATACATGTGCCATGTTGGTGTGCTGCACCCATTAACTCGTCATTTAACATTAGGTATATCTCCTAATGCTATCCCTCCCCACTCCTCCCACCCCACAACAGTCACCAGAGTGTGATGTTCCCCTTCCTGTGTCCATGTGTTCTCATTGTTCAATTCCCACCTATGAGTGAGAACATGCAGTGTTTGGTTTTTTGTCCTTGTGATAGTTTGCTGAGAATGATGGTTTCCAGCTTCATCCACGTCCCTACAAAGGACATGAACTCATCATTTTTTATGGCTGCATAGTATTCCATGGTGTATACGTGCCACATTTTCTTAATCCAGTCTATCATTGTTGGACATTTGGGTTGGTTCCAAGTCTTTGCTGTTGTGAATAGTGACACAATAAACATACATGTGCATGTGTCTTTATAGCAGCATGTTTTATAATCCTTTGGGTATATACCCAGTAATGGGATGGCTGGGTCAAATGGTATTTCTAGTTCTAGATCCTTGAGGAATCGCCACACTGACTTCCACAATGGTTGAACTAGTTTACAGTCCCACCAACAGTGTAAAAGTGTTCCTATTTCTCCACATCCTCTCCAGCACCTGTTGTTTCATGACTTTTTAATGATCGCCGCTCTCACTGGTGTAAGATGGTATCTCATTGAGGTTTTGATTTGCATTTCTCTGATGGCCAGTGATGCTGAGTATTTTTTCATGTGTCTTTTGGCTGTATAAATGTCTTCTTTTGAGAAGTGTCTGTTCATATCCTTCGCCCGAGATTGTGCTATTTTAGTTCTAGAAAATTATTTGCCACTCAATCTCTTATTAAAGTACAAGGGAACCTGAAAAAAAAAAAAAAAGAAAGAAAGGACAGGAGTAGAGGAGGAACCTGTCCTGGTAAGAAATGCTCTGCAATCTCTTATCTGTTTAGTAGCTGTAACTTATTTTATGTCATTCTTCACTTGCAATATATCTGAAAATTCAATATACAATAGAGACTGTTTCTTGTTGACTGTTGTCTGATCAATTATGAAATAAACAAGAGAATAACAGTGTCCCATTTCTTTTAGTGATGCCTGAATGGTGTTAACCCTATGGATCTTTCAGATCAGCGGTTTTTACATAGAAATACCATGAGGGAATTGGAGCAGAAAAAGAACAGACAACATACCAGGAGGCAAATATTTGTAGAAGTCTTATACATGGATTAATTTCCAACAATAAAACAGTAAAGTCTTCTTTTAATTTAGAGTTGGATACTCCATAAGAACCGTGACCTTCGGTCATTAAATTATCAAACACTGTCTTACTGAGTACCTAACATATAAAAAGCACTGTTCAGAGATCATTGTCAGATTGTAACAAGATTTTACTGAGAGTGCTTGTCACCTCTTTAATTTTGGCTTAGATATTTTATCTTTCTTTATTCTTTCTCTTACCGAGAAAGTTCTTGCTTAAAAAGGTCAGAAATACCATCTGATCCACTATACACTGAAATCAATTATATAGTAACATGAATCAGACACATTAGCTCTGCTTCCCTGTGTTTATGACTTCATTTTGACAGTAACCATACCTTCTTTTTATACCAACTGTTTATTCCATCCAAAAATCTATTACATATGTCACATATTGTTAGTATTCTTATATTCGTGGTTATCTTAATGATTTGCTTTGTGATTATAAATGCTGGTCTTTTAATAAGGCTAATTAAACTATTTATATCTATTAAATATAAAGTGACATGTTTGAGAGTGTATGTATATATATGAACATGTATGCTGGGTGAACTGCAAATTCAGAGAAATTCTAGGAATAAATTTAGCTCTCTCTATATCTTATATATTCTTAAAAAGATCCACTAGCTTTGATAATGGTAGTAGCATGAATATTTTTCTGAAACTCAGTTTCAATTTAAGTTATAGTCTCACTTCTTACAAAATTATATAATTTAGAACATATTATTTAATCTCTCAAAACTCAGTTTTCTGTCTCTGAATCCTCTTTGGTCAGGATGGTGAAACAGCCATTGTATTGGTTTCTTAGAGCTGTCATAACCAAAATGCCTCCTCTAGGTTTTGGCGATTGTTAGCAATTTTTGGTGTTTCTTGGCTTGTACCAGTTTAACTCCAGTTTCTGCCTCCATAATTGTATGGCATTCTTCTCTCTGCATACCCATTTCTCTTTGTCTAAATTTCCTTCATTTTATAAGGCCACCATTCATATTGAATTTAGGGCCCTCCTTACTCCAATATGAACTCACCTTAATTTGATTATATATGCAAAAAAAAACCCTATTTCTAAGTAAAGTCACATTAATAGGCTTTGGATAGACATGAATTTGTAGGGGGCACTGTTTAACTCACCATGGCCATGTAAAAGAATATGAAAAATCCCTAGTATTGTGACTAACCAGAGTATATGATAAATTAGTATATATATTTCTCTATTTACCAACTTCTGCCATAGAAAGAAAAAAAGTGAAAACCTACTTCTTTCCAACTTTTTTTGGTTTAATCCATAGTTTTCTAATGCAGTGGGAATAATATGCTGTTCCTAGTACTCCTCAGTCTTAAGCTGAATTAGAACATATATTTCTCTATCTATTCACCAACTTCTGCTATAGAAAGAAAAAAAAAGAAAACCTACTTCTTTCCAATTTTTTTAGTTTAAACCATAGTTTTTTAATGCAGTGGGAATAACACGCTGTTCTTGTACTCCTCAGTCTTAAGCATTAATTTTTTATCAAGACATTTCTTTAGGAAATGTTTCTCAAGTGGAGATGAACAAATATAAATTCACTGGTTACCAGAGGAGATGGGGAGTCTGAAAGGGGAAAAAAGGAGGCAGATGCAGAAATAGAATGGAAACACCAAATGTTGGCCTGCTTCCTGATTTTGTATGTAGCTATAATCTGTGTCAAAAAAGGGAATTAATTTAAACTAAAAAATTTTTATTCATGAGCTAAAAAGAAAAGTATTGAGACAATGTATTTTTTTCCTAAAAATATAATCCTTATCTCTGGAAAATATAAAACTTATTTAGTTAAATTATTTTTAAAATAATTATTTCTATAGCCTAGAATAATAATGATTAAAATATTTATCCAAACTCCATAAAGTATTAGCTTAATAATGACTACTTTCAGTACATATGCAGGGAAAATTTTAAGGCACCGTTTCTGTATTTCTTTAGGTTTTTTAATGAATGCCTCCAGGAGGTTTATAGAATTACCTTGATATTTATGTAAATCTCTTTGGAACATTAATATAAGTATTTCAAGTCCTCAACACTTATAAGTAAGTCATACATAATCAATACAAAATTTGTAAAAAGAAGTGTAACTTTTAAAAAGATGGTTCCCAAATTCCCTGCATCACAAAAACACTGACAGTAAACATTATTCATTAAGCTTTTAATCACTTTACTTACTAAATTTAAGGTACTCTATAGCATGGATTATAACTTATGACACTTACTTAGCACTCCTACTTTTAGCTCACATATGTGAGTTTACATGAGGGAAGGGAGGGCTCAGGAAGACATCTGGGTGGTTCAGATCATATATACATATGCACAGTAATGAACAGATACAAATTTAATTATAGATACATGTGTGCAAATAGTGTTATGGGCTGAATTATGTCCCCCTGAAGTTCATATGTTGAAGTTCTAACTTCCACTACCTTACTGAAGCCATCAGAGCAGGTCTAATCAATTGAATGGTATCATAAGAAGAGGAAATTTGGACCACAGGGATGTGCATGCAGAGGGGAGACCATGGGAGGAAACAGCAAAGAAGGTGATCATCTGTAAGCCAAGGAGAGAGCTCTCAGGAGAAACCAAACCCGCCGACACTTTGATGTTGGCCATTTAGCCTTAGTTTTATTTTCTCAAAAGTGTGAGAAAATACATTTTTGTTTTTAAGCCATCAGTCTGCAATGCTTTGTTATGGCAGCCCTAACAAACTAGTATACATGGTTAGCATTGATGCCCCAGTAGCAATGAGCACAGTGCCTATATCTTTATCTCTAAATGTCATTCTTCAGTAAAGGAAACCATGGCTCATTGGAGATGTAGTGGATTCTAGGCATGCAGTATGTATTAATCCATTTTCACTCTGCTGATAAAAACATACTCAAAACTGTGCAATTTACAAAAAAGGAGAGGTTTATTGGACTTACAGTTCCATGAGGCTGGAGAGGCCTCACAAACTTGGCAGAAGGTGAAAGTCACATCTCTCATGGCAGCAGAGAAGACAGCTTGTGCAGGGAAACTCCTCTTTTTAAAATCATCAGATCTCATGTGACTCATTCACTATCACTAGAATAGCATGGGAAAGATCTGACCCCCCGTGATTCGATTACCTCCCACCAGGTCCCTCCAACATGTGGGAATTCAAGACAAGATTTGGGTGGGGACAGGCCCAAAACATATTACAGTAGAAAAAATATGTAAGATATGTCTAGAATACCTTTTAGTACCAAAAAGTAAGAAAGTTCTTCAAAAGCAAAAGGATACAGAAATGTCAAGTGAATGTCAAGTGAGCACAGAAACCAACATGAAAGAGCTACTAATGTCCAAAATGGAAATAATGTGATAAAAATATTTTAAAAACACATATTAAAATATATTCTAAATATAGACAAAATATAACCCAAAGTAAAAGATAAATAAGCATGAGTTCAGGATGATAGAAATAAATAATTGAATAAATTCATAAATTTAGTGGCAGAAAAGTCTTTCTTACTGAATAATTTTAAATAACATCTGTAGATATTCTTCCATGCTAGGAAGTGGAGCTTAACTCTCTCCATATGTGGGCCAGGGTTAGACACTTACTACTTCTGAAAAAGTAGTAAAAAAAGGGGATAAGGTAACTTTACAGTAGAGAAATCTGGCTGACAATTTCACCTAGTGAAGGAGATTAACATTACCTGAGATTTCATGTGGACATTATAGAATGTCTGATATAATGTAACGTGAAGGGCTCTTTACCTTACCTTGATCATATTCTAAGAAAAAAACAATAAACCCAGTCTAATAATTAAAAACAAACAAACAAAAACAGGTTGAGTGCAGTGGCTCACACCTGTAATCCCAGCATTTGGGGAGGCTGAGGCAGGATCACCTGAGGTCAGTTTGAGACCAGCCTGGCCAACATGGTGAAACCCATCTCTACTAAAAATACAGAAACATAAAAATAAAAAAATAAAAAAATAACAGGGCATGGTGGTGCGTGCCTGTAGTCTCAGCTACTCGGGAGGCTGAAGCAGGAGAATCGCTTGAATCTGGGAGGTGGAAACTGCAGTGAGCCGAGATGGCACCACTCCAGCCTAGGCATCAGAGTACTCCTGAAGACTATTAAGGTTATACAAAACAATGCAAGACAAGAAGCTGTCCCATACCAGAGAAGTTGAAGTAGACATGGCAACCAAATGCAATATAGCAACCTGAACTGGACCCTGGAATGGAAAGAGGACACTCATGAAAAAGCTATGAAATCCAAAAAAGTCCAAAGTTTAGCTAATGATAATATATCAGTACTGGTTTCTTAATTTGATAAATGTACCATGGAAATGTAAGATGTTAGCAACAAGGGGAAATTGGGTAAAGGGTATATGAAAACTTTCTGTACTATCTTTGTAACTATTCTGTAAATCTAAAATTACTCAAAATAGAAATTTAACTTAAAAATACATGTAAACATTAAAATAGTTCCCTTAAACAAAAATTCTCAGGTCACTATTGTGGGCTTAGTCTCATATTTTACATGCTGGATGATGACATACGGTTTTGCATTCAGCTTCCTTCTCTTTATGCATAACAGTAAAATGACCAAAAAATAATTCAAATAGAGGTAAGCCTTTTTTGTATACCCTCCATCAGTGCAAATCATGGGGGGCTTTAATTAGCAGGCACAAACCTTGATAAATTTTTGTAAAATAGAATATGAGTAGGATCTAGAACAAGCATAATTCTGATAATGTCATTGTGCATTTTTTTAAAGAATAAATGATCATCCAATTTGAAATTTAAACCACGTGAAGGAAAGCTGCACTGGGAAATAAACAGAAGAGGTTTCCCAGAAAAATAATCTGAGCCTCTAAGCTCAAAATAGCATTTGTTGTAAGTAAAGAAAGGCTATGAGGCAATAGTAAAAGGAGGTTGCAGGGAGAATTACATAACTTCAGGAGCCCACCAGTGGTTGCAATTGGGAACTATTTTGAATAGAAACGACATGGTAAATAAAGCAGAGTACTAATGAGCATATTAAGGAAAAGGCTGCAGTGTCTGTAGTAGGCTAAATAATGGCTCCCAAGGTTACGCCCATGTCCTAATTCCTGGAACCTATGAATGTCACCTTATATGGTAAAGACTGCAGATGTGATTAAATTATCTTGAGCTATTAAAATATTCCTAGATTATTGGTGGGCTTATGTGCAATCACAAGTCCTTAAAAGAGAATGACAGCAGGAGAATTAGCACACACAAGAGGAGAAGGCAATGTGACCTTAGAGGCAGGGATTGGGGAAATATGCTCACAAACCAAGGAATGCCAGCAAGCACCAGAAGGTGAAAGAAGCAATGAATAGTTTCTGCCCTAAAGCCTCTGGAGAAAGTGCAGCCCTGCTGACACCTTGATTTCAGCCCAGTGACAATGACTTCAGACAGTTTCTGGCCTCTAGAACTGTGAAAGAATAAATTTCTGTTTTTAAGCCACCAAGTTTGTGGTAATTTGTTGCAGCAACCATAGGAAAATAATACAATGTGCAAGAGCACCTGAAAGCCCTCACTGAAACAAGAAACTGTTGCAAAAGCAGTGGATCTCCCTGATATGCAATAGTATCCTCAATTTATGTATCTAAAACATCCATAGTGTCTAAAAGAATCAATTTTGATCCCAAATAGGAATAAATATAAACCTCTATCTTTTTTTAAAAAAAAAGCCAATCAATTAATACATCACAAGTCTTTTCTTCTTAAAAATCAAACAAATTTGAGCCCTAAGAAAGATAGTACGCCCCCAAATGAGGAAAAAGATATTAAGATTTTTATTTTTACTCTCCATATAATTTGAAAATTCATCACATTTGTAAAAAAAAAAAAAAGGAATAATTTCTGAATGCTTTGGTAGAAGCACTTGCAGAGATAAAAACACAAACACATTCTGCCAAACTATTTGCAGAGATATTAAACAGTAGTTTTAATACTGTAGAAAACCAGCTCAAGGTACTGAAAAATCTGTTTAAGCAATTCTCACAGGCTTTATACAAAATGATAAATAAGACTTATGAAAAACAGAGTAAGCAAAAAAGGGAGGAGAGGAAGAGAGGAAAAGAGGAAGAAAGAAGCACATCTAGTTAGTGTAATGTATCATACTTTCAGTCATAGAAAAACTCAGAGAATATGCCACCGTATCACTTCAGCATTGCATTTGGGCTGACTACAGAGGTTCAACAAGCCTATTAAATTATGTTTCCCTTTTTGGGGAAGCCAGAGGAGTATAGGAGTAGGGATCACATAACAATAATTCCAGAAGTAGAATGTCAGAACTGATGCAGCTGCTCAGTGATACTATCAGGGACTAAGTTAATGATCCTTCAGACATTCTCAAAGATCCAAAGAGACCAATGTAAAGTGATCTATGTAGCATGAATCTATAAACTTCTTGATGGCAATTATGAGAGAGCCTAATGATATAGATAATTGGTAATTGTAAATGTTTTCCCCTTATGAGTAGAGGAATGACACTTTGTCATTCTAAGCTTGTGGTATCAATTTTTTGGAAACACCTTCTAAGGTGGCTTCCTAGAATTTGTATCTTTGTTTCTTCTCCTCCCCTTGAGTGTGGGTCAGGCTTACTGACTTACAGTGAATGGAATGTCACTGAGATGATGTGATATCACTTCTGAAATAAGATTATGAAAAGACTGGCTTCCATCTGGGAATTTTCTCTCATTCACTCTGAACTGAGCCAGCTGTCATGTTGAGAGTTTTCTGATGGAGAAGCACACATGATGAGGAAGAGTCAGAGAGAAACTAAGGCCTTTAGTTCAACAACATGAGTAAACGCAGAAGTGGATCCTCCCTCATCTGAGCCTCTGGATGAGAACACAGTCCAGGTTAACTCTGTGACCACAATGTCATGAGAAACTTTGAACATAGGCACACAACTAAGTCATGCCCCAGATTCATGATCCATAGAAACTGTTGTAGTCTTTCTGGTTGCAACATGGCTATTCCACTTTCAGACATCACATCCAAAATTCAGAGAAAAAGAGGAGATTGGACAAAGTACCAAGTATGCCTACCTACTAAATATTTTCTTTATTTAGATGGAAGAAAAGATATACAGGTATTTATAAGCAACCAAGAATGTCTGCCACATCACTCATGTAGTATTCTTAGAGAAAAATACTTTTAAAAAATTATGGAAGCCATTGACATGTTAGTCAAAATTAAAGATATAATTAAAGTTGAAAATATTAAAAAACAAAGGTATGATCTCTGTAATCCAAGAGAAGAGAGGAGTTATAAAACAGACAAGAATTGGTATTATTTATAGTCAATAGAAGACTAAAAATGTAGCTAAAAATTAAATACATAAGATTGTTCTATTAATTAAAATGCACTAAATTTGGGGCTTTGTAAACAGGACATTTCATTTATTATAAATCATTAAAAATCACTTTAAAAAGAAATTATGCACTGGGCAAATCAAAACCTCAATGTATCATAAATGACAATGGCAATTTTTTCTATAATGCAGTAAGCTATATTTTGATAATAAAATACTAAATGTGAAGTCCACTTGAAAAATTATAATAGCTAGAATGATGATAAAATTACATTTAGAGTTTTATGAGGATACGTTAATAAAATAAAATATGTAAAATATAAAATTTGGTGCTAAGATGTTTAAATTCACAAAGTCAAACACTAACAAAATTTAACATAGAATTATGAATATATTTGAATAAATCAGTTATAAAGAAAAATTAGAATATGTTATAATTCTTATATCAAGATAGTAAATCTCCAGAGTAGTTTCATGAGTAAGTTACATCTGGGCCTTGACGAGTTTAAACAAACAAACAAAAATTTCATCCTTCTAAAGTATTTTAATAAAGACATTTTATATTAATTTTATGAAGCTACAATAAAACTGTCAGCAGAAACTATAAAAAAACCACAGAGGAAAAAGAAACTTCAGACTAATCTTACATGTATAGAAGTAACAATCATGAAACAAATACCAGCAAATAAACTGAAGCACTGTGTTAAAATAATTATATTCATCTCAGAGAATACTTTTAGGATGATTACAAAGTCATCACGGTTTTAGGAAATGCTATACTATATGAAATCATATATGGAGAAAACAGCTTTATACATTCCAAAGAGATATTCAATAAAATTATATATCCATTCTTGAGTTTTAAGTCATGCCATTATACGATGAACAGCATACAAATTGTCCATCTCAAATCAAAGATGAGCATAATGTTTAATGATTAAACATGAGAGACATTCTCATTAAAAGCAGGAAAATGATACTTATAGTGAAATTTAATTTAGTAAATTGATGTACTAATAAAATTAAGGAGAAAATTTAATAGATTTACTTCATCTGCTGGATACAAAATATTTTAAAGTTAACTTAACTGCCTTATATTAATAAGAATTAAAAAGTATTATGTTTTAATACATTATTATGTATTATCAATGGAATGGTCAATATCTTTAGTGATGAGTATCCCCCCATCTGCTTCCATTTTATCAAATTGTCAGACATATTCGATTTTGGCCCATTTTCTCAGAAATTTGCTTAACTAATTCAATTTATCTATTAATGCCTTAGGCGTGTTGATTTCCCCGTAGAATGTTTGATTTTCAGCAATGATTCTCTCTCTCTCCCCATATATATATATGTATATACACATATATATGAATATGCATATACATGTATATACACATATATGTGAATATGCATATACATGTATATACACATATATGTGAATATGCATATACATGTATATACACATATATATGAATATGCATATACATGTATATACACATATATGAATATGCATATACATGTATATACACATATATGAATATGCATATACATGTATATACACATATATGAATATGCATATACATGTATACACACATGAATATGCATATACATGTATACACACATGAATGCATATACATGTATACACACATATGAATGCATATACATGTATACACACATATGGATATGCATATACATGTATACACACATATGGATATGCATATACATGTATACACACATATGGATATGCGTATACATGTATACACACACATATGGATATGCGTATACATGTATACACACACATATATGCGTATACATGTATACACACACATATGGATATGCGTATACATGTATACACACACATATGATATGCGTATACATGTATACACACACATATGATATGCGTATACATGTATACACACACATATGGATATGCGTATACATGTATACACACATATATGGATATGCGTATACATGTATACGCATATGTGGGTATGCGTATATACATGTATACGTATATACGTGAGTATGCGTATACATGTATACGTATATACGTAAATACATATTCATATATACGTATATACGTATATACACATGTATACGTATACACGTATGCGTATAGGTATACGTATACACGTATGCGTATATAGGTATACGTATACACGTATGCGTATATAGGTATACGTATATGTATATGTGTATACGTATATACACGTGTATGTATATACATATATACACGTATATACACGTGTATGTATATACATATATACACGTATATACACGTGTATGTATATACATATATACACGTATATACACGTGTATGTATATACATATATACACGTATATACACGTGTATGTATATACATATATACACGTATATACACGTGTATGTATATACATATATACACGTATATACACGTGTATGTATATACATTTATATACACGTATATACACGTGTATGTATATACATTTATATACACGTATATACACGTGTATGTATATACACGTATATACACGTGTATGTATATACATAGATATACACGTGTATGTATATACATAGATATACACGTGTATGTATATACATATACACACGTATACACACGTGTATGTGTATACATATACACACGTATACACACGTGTATGTATATACATATACACACGTATACACACGTGTATGTATATACATATACACACGTGTATACACGTATATATATGTATATACATATATATACATGTATATATGTATATGTATTTAAGGTAAAATAACAATGCCAGAAAAACATAGGGTAGAGTAGGCTTTTGGTGCCCCATAATTTACCTTAAATACTAACTATTCTTAACTTTGCTAGGCACCTTACAAAATTAGACAGACATGACACAGATCCCAGAGTAATAGCTTTTCCTGAATCATTTATGCATAGAGAAAATCTTCTGGATCTAGTGCTAGGCAAAGATTTCTTAGACTTGACTCCAAAATTACAGTCCATATACATAAAAATTAGTAAGTTGGTCCTCATTAAAATTTTTTAAAATTATTCTGAGAAACTTCATTCTAAAGGATGAAATGGAAATCTACAGACTGAGAGAAAATATTTGCAGACCATATTATCTGAGAAAGGACTCATATCAAGAATATATAAAGAACTCTCAAAACAACAGTAAAAAAAAATCAAATTAGAAAATAGGCAAAAAACATGAACAGACTTGTTTTTTTCAAAGAAGATACATAGATGACAAATCAGTGCATGAAAAGATATTCAATATCATTAACTATTAGGGCAATGGAAATAAAAATCACAAGGAACTATCACTACACTCCTATCAAAATAGCTAAAATAAAATATAATACCACCACCAAATGTTGTTGGGATGTGGAGAAATTGGAATACTCAAACATTGGTGAGAGGAATGTAAAATAATAAGGGAACTCTAGAAACAACCTGAAAGTTTCTTATAAAACAAAGCATGCAACCCCCATACGATCCAGCAAAATGTACTCTTGTGCACTGTTATAGAGAAATAAAAATGTATTTCCACACACAAAAATTCTGCACATGAATATTCATAGCATTATTCATAATGACCCCAAATTGGAAACAACACAGATGCCCTTCAACAGGTGAAAGCTTACACAATACCATGGAATACTACCCAGCAATAATAACAAATGTACTATTAATAACAACAAACTGGATCAATTTCCAGATAATAGTGTGGAGTGAAAAAAAGCCACTTCCAAATGCTCAAATACTGTATGATTCCATTTATAAAACATTCTTGAAATGGTACAATTATAGACATAGAGAACAGATTAGTGGTTGCCAGGGGTCAGAGATAGGGATTTGGGAGGTGGGTATGCCTGTAAAAGAGCAACAGTAAGTATCCTTGTGATGATAGACTTTTCAGTACCTTGACTATATCAGTGTCAATATCCTGATTGCCCTATTGTACTACAGGTTTCAAGATGATATCACTGAGAGAAACTAGGCAAGGCACAGAATCTCTTGTATTATTTTTTTACAAATACATCTGTATCCACATTGTGACACAGTATTTTATTTAAAATTTCATTTTTTAAAAAGTTGAATCATAACTTCAGTCTATTCTAGCATGCCAAAAAAGGTATTGCTTAAATGGATTAATTTACTTAAATTTAAACTTAGTGTTTTCTTTCAAAGTTAAACCACCTGTTTTTCAAAGAGAATTTAGCACATAATTTATACTTCATTTAAAATTGACATCACTATTTAAGAAAATAATTTTTATTTTAACCCATATTACATTTTAGCAAAAATTTTAAACTTGTCCATCTCCTCTGACAGGCTGTTTTTAAGAACACTACATTTTCATACCCCCAATACCTAAAACTACAGCTAGCTTTCAGGAAAATCACAATACAATTATACTGAATGATTGAATAAATTATAGGTTATCAATCCAATATTAAAACCAGCAGTAAATGATTAAATTGATGAATTAATTAGGGGTAAAACAAAAAATAATTATCTAACTTAATAGCATGTGTCTTTCCTCTCCAAACTAACCCTCATTTGGTAGCCTGAAGTGTTCATTAGTTGATTTATTATAACTCCTCTTCTTCTCTACACAGGTGGTATGCATTTAAAAGACTTATCGTATCATGTTATTTGGAGGCTAAATCTATATGGATAACTCAGAGAATAGTGATATAGTCTCTCCAATAAGTATGTTATCTTTAAAGAAAAAAAAAAACATTCTTCCAACATGAAGCTGATCTAGCCAGTAATAGCTGTCTACTTGAAGTTCCGTAACTGTTCCTGGATGAGGATGACAGAGAACTGGCCATGCAGGTAATTAATCACTTTTTTAAATAGTCAAATTATAGTTATTGGATTTTGCTAAAATTCCCTAACAATAGTTCTGATTCTGTTAAGAGAATATGTGTGTCTTTCTCTGTGTGTATGATATACAATTTTCTTTGTAAGTATTTTCCTAATATTAACAAAATGTCAGAAAAAAATGTATATGTACTACCTGATATGGTGCCTAACTTCTACAGGAATTAGTATGACATTGTATTTGTCCATTTTCACACTGCTATAAAGAACTACGGAGACTGGGTAATTTATAAACAAAAGAGGTTTAATTGATGTACAGCTCTTCATGACTGGGAAGGCCTCAGGAAAATTACAATCATGGCAGAAGGCAAAGAGGAAGCAAGACAATCCTTACATGGCAGTAGGAGACAATGAGAGAGAAGGAGGAAGTGCCAGACACTTATCAAACAACCAGATCTCATGAGAACTCTATCACAATAATAGCAAGGGGGAAGCCTGCCCCCAAGACTCAATCACCTCCCACCAGGCCACTACACACATGGGGATAATAATTCGACATGAGATTTGGGTGGGGACACAGAACCAAACCATATCAGACCTCATTTCAAAAAGAATAGTAGGGATGCTTCCTAATAATGTGCTCTCTCGCACGCACGCTCTCTCTGTCTCTCTCTTGCTCTCTCTCTCTCTCACATGCACAGACACACACATATGGAACTGGCAATTAGGTATTTTTATCTCTTGACGTGGCCAGTTCTCTGTCATCCTCATCCAGGAGCAGTTATGGAACCTCAAGTAGACAGCTATTACTGGCTAGATCAGCTTCATGTTGGAAGAATGTTTTTTTTTTCTTTAAAGATAACATACTTATTGGAGAGACTATATCACTATTCTCTGAGTTATCCATATAGATTTAGCCTCCAAATAACATGATACGATAAGTCTTTTAAATGCATACCACCTGTGTAGAGAAGAAGAGGAGTTATAATAAATCAAACAGATCATTTTAATACTAAGTATAGGATGTAGAAAAAATTGTGGAAGTTTTTGTAATGAAACAAAAAATTACTGAATGGCTTCAACAACCACAAGAAAAACATGCATTGGTTGGAATACATGCTTAAAGGTTATCTGATTTTATGCCTCTATATAATTGTTTTCAAGCTATTTATTTACTACTCTGTAAGTTATAGATAACAGCAATCCAAGTAATTTTCATTTATAGTCACAGAAATAACTTTTGTTCAGTGGGAAAACAATGGATTCCTGCTACCCTACCCTCATGAAAAAAATCCAGTTTTGCATTTATGTATAAATTTTTGGCCCATATAGGTCCATGATTTTTAAAATTTTCCTGTGAATTGGTTGTAACATCTTATTGATTCTCTCAGTAATCAAATAAAATTCTATGTTTATATATTGGTCGTGATATTTTACCTACTTGTTGGAAATTATCCTTTAAAAAGTATAAATAACATTTTACTGCATAAATAACTAAACTCTTGTAATTACAGATTACATTAGGCTTGTTTTGTGATGTCATATTCAACTATCAGTTTTGGAAAAGACAAATAAAACAACCTGACAATACCAGATATTAGAAAGATATGGAACAAAGTTCACATATATACTTTGCTAAATGTAAAATGGCACAAGCCCTTAAAAAACTGGCAGTATCTTATTAAAACAAACATACCCTACCTATCTGGTGACTGAGCAATGTCATTTCTAAGAGTTTATCCAGTGGAAATGAGGACATATGAAAAGATATACAAAACTGTTCAGAGCTGCTTTATGCATAATGGCAAAAAGCTGGAGCACTCCAGATGTCCACCATTAGGAGATTGGATACACTGTGACATATTGATCCACTGGAATTCTACTCATGGATAAAAAGGAGAGGCCTGCTTACACACACACACACACACAGAGACACACACACATACACACACACACACACACACACACACACAATGGATCTGAAATCACTATGCAGAATAAAAAAAGCCAGACACAAGGAGATACCTTGTTTCAGTTACATAAAGTTCTAGATTAGAACTTGACTGCAATGTAACATTCAGCCTGGACTGGTATGTATCAATAGGAGAAATACCTGACTCCAACTTCTGGATTGAGAAATTGTTTCACAATGTGAAAAAAGCATATTTCTTTTCTTAGGTCTGACTAATGTGGAGCATTGAAACAGTGATTTGATTTGCTTACCTTTGATGTTCATAGTCATGTGTTTTGAAAAGGAAATTTTAAAATCTTTAGCATATGATAGATTTTGCTACCTGTAACAAGGCTCTTTAAAGTGGTACTGTGTGTTGTGATTTCTAAACTGGGAAAAAGTAGAGGAAGGCACAATTTTCTTTTGCATCCCAACTGCTCTTGGATTTTGAACTTTATGGTATTGAAGCGCAAATCGGAATGCATCTGAAATTATACTGAAGTGATTCTGATTTCTAGAGTGATAAAATCATTAAGCTTTAAGTTTCTCCGGCTTTGAAGATAGAGGCAACAAAATAAACATTTAAAACCTGTTCCTTTTCCATGGTAACCTCTGAAATAAATCCCCACAAAATAAAATGTCCTATACCCAAAGTGGAGAAAGCCTCAAACTAATAAGAACACAAAGTTCAAAATATGTTGGCCAGAAAAATATACAATCTAGAAAAAAAAAAAACTGAAAGGATTAACCAGTAGCAAACACTCATCCAGCCCCAAATAAACACCATATAGTATTGTGGGTTAATCCGGAGAGAAGTCTGAAGGAAGCTAGTAAAATGATCTTCTAATTAGCAGGAAGCAGGTTGAAAACTCTTTACCATTTTGGGCCCTTCCTTCATCACAACGGAAAAGAAGATATTAGGGGAAATAGTTTCAGAAAATATTTGGCTACGTTGTCCCCTCTTCTCCCTTGCTCTATGCCTGAACCACAACTTTCTAAACTAGGAAAGATAAGAACTTTAAGGAAGTCAAATTTGCAGCTATGAAATAGCAGTAATGATGAGATGAAAATGCATGGCAAAGTAAAAAATAAACATGTCACTGTGCTTCAGGGAGTGAGTCTTATCTAATTTACCAAAAATGTAGCTGGCTTCTATGAATGCAGTGGGATTAAACAAAAGGGCTACCTCTCAAAGATGATAACAGGTATTAATACTTAATAAGTTGAGAGGGAAATCACAGAGAAAATTTTACAAGCTAATGCTGCCTCTGATGCTATTTTCTTCCCTACCCCAACCTTAAATAAATGTAGCTCTCTGGCTCGAGTGCTAGAGTGAAATTATAAATGTTCCTCCAAGTTACTAGAGAGGGTACTAAAGGTATAATCACATAAATATGAAAATGAATCCATTTAAATTCAAAAATTCTTTATGAGCTTGTCACTGTGGTTCACACCTGTAATCCCAGCACTTTGTGAAGCTGAGGCAAAAAGACTGCTTTAGCCTAAGAGTTCAAGACCACCTTACCAATCTAGGGAGACCTGGCCTCTACAAAAGATAATTATCCAGGCATGGTGGCATGTGTTTGTGGTCCCTGCTATTCCAGAAGCTGAAGTGGGAGGATCACTCTAGCCTTGGAAGTTGAGGTTGCAGTGAACTGTGAATGTGCCATTGCACTCCAGAGTCGGCAATAGCAAGAACCAACCTCAAAAAAAAAAAAAAAATCCTCATGAATACATCTGATTTCAAGGAATTCTATTAACTGGGTAGACATTATTCTTTAAAAATAACCAACAACCAATCAACCACAATAGGGGCTCACTTCAGACTCCTCATCAAATATAGAAACAGAAGAAAGTACAACATCCATCATCACTGAACTAGAGAAAAAGATGTGGTGCTTGGGTTCTATATCCGATGACATTTAACCATGTGCGAAGGCGACAGAAAAATATTTTCAAAACCTTTCGATTATGCTCTGGTTCATAACATTATCACAGCCTGAATAATGTGCTATTTATATGTTCTTCAAAATTTTTATTTGGAGTTGTAATCCAGCCAAACATAATATGACTCATATGAGACAAATAAGATCTGATAAAAATAAATAAATGATCCACTAAAACAACCTAGAAGCAATGAAACCCCACTGGCAATGAGCTCACCTAGTCACCACGTCTTGTTTTCTAAATATTGCTCCCCATTAAAAGGATCAGAGATCCTTGGGAATATGGCTGATCGGAAGTAGGGAAAATACAAGTTAAGCATGTTAGATGTAGTAGTTGCAGAAAGTGAGGAAGTACTAAAATATGAAGAACAATAACCTATGGTTATATGAAAAGAACCTAGAAGCCAGCTTGAAGGAGTCCCTTCTGACTAAATGGCTAATGTGGCTAACTTGTGACAATGAGGGGAAAAAAAACTTCAAATAAGTTAAAACTGTTAAATAATTAAAAATAAATAAATAACACATAGCAATACCAACTTAAAGGAGAAATAGAAAGCTCTTTTTTCTAGTTAAATGTCAATTATCAATTAAGAAATCATTATTTTGTGAGCCCAGATTTGATAACTGATTCAATAGTGATTCATCAATAAAGCCAAAGATGTTAGGTGTAGGCATCATATATCTACAACTGGGAGGCCTGGGCAATTAGCTGACAGCCCATTTCAGAGTGAGCTCGGGAGCCAGCCAACAGAAGTTACTGTGTTACCAAGCAAAAGGGCTTCCCACCTGATTCGCATAGAAGCCAATACTATGGCACCGGTTTGGGGAAAATAAAGGCTTTATTGTGAAGTTGACTGGCAAAGAGACAGGAGGTGAAGCTCAAATCTGTCTCTCCATGTTGGCTTTAAAACAGTACATTTATTAGTAAAGGTTTAGGGGGTGAGTTCTGGGATTAGCAGATGACTGGTAAAAAGGGGAGGTCTGAGAAGTCTCCTGGCATGTGCAGTTGTCTCTTAATACCTCTTCATGTGTAACTCTGGGGGGAATTAGTACGCTATATGCGATGGATATTCAGAGTGTGACATCAGCAAGTTCATTCTGTGCGCTCTCCATTTGGTCATATTGGTTCCAATGAATTTCAACTCGTTTTGTTATCTTACAAGTAGAGAAAGTTTCAGCAATCTGTCTCTTTTTCTCATATGCCATCCCATAAACTCAGTAATTCCTCATAGTCACTTGTTTCTTTAACCATTTGGGACATGATTTTACAGCTTCTTAGCTCTGTGCCTGTAAAATAACTGGACGTTCTGTTATCAACAGGCATGACAAGATAAGACTCATCTGGTGGTTACAGCTGATCTGGGTCAAACCACAGGAGTAGCACCCCTATCTGTTCCCTCTCCTGGGCTCAGCACTGCTGCTCATTTTCTGTATTACAAACAGGTCCTTTGTCCTGGAAAATGGTACCAATGGTACTCATCAGTACCAAGAAGAGATTGAGGCCCCTCAAGGACACCAGAGTGGAAGGTGCAGCATCAGGCTCTCCCAGGTTGAATCCCTGTTTTTCTAGCCTCATCTACCCTAGCAACATTGATCTGTGTCTCCAGTCCATGAATCTTCTTCAAAAATGAGAGCAGAGAGTTCAACAGCTAAGGGCAGTCAGCAAGGGCTATTTAACACTAACAACTTCTGCTCCATTACAAGGCCCGTCCTAGTGGCCAGTCAATAACTCCAGTGAAGAGACTCTTAGATGCTGCAAACTGCCCAGATTAGTCTTGCCATGGAAGTGATAAAATACTTTAGCAGAAAACAGATGCACCGGGCACACACACACACACACACACGTTTGGAATGCCTACTAAAGAAAGCATCCACAAAACTGAATGAAAGATGTACTCAAAAGGTTAAAGAAAGGAAAATGATGTATCTACAAGGGGAATGTACCAACCAAAAGCAGATAGTGTGGTATCAGTTACTCTAGGAGGAAAGGCAACTTCTGAATTTCAGTGGGTTTTCTGGGAAGCAAGCGGTACTCTTTTTAATATTCAATTCATCAAGGGTCCCAGAGGCAAATTAATGGAGTTGCAGAATCTATGTCTGCAATAGTCTAGTGTCCACATGAGCAAAGGACCCCTGTCAATGTTGCACAAGAATGACTGCCTCCATCAGAGCAAGTTAGGGCCTTCATCAGGAGAAGCCTGAAGACTCCGGCTCCTATAAAACTGCAGCCCAATCACAAGGCTGTATGGAAGTTACGTGTCTTGTGGTGAAAATAATGGTATAAACTTATTGAACACATAGGATGTGGTGGTAGGAAGACTTCGTAGTGGGAAAACCAAAAACCAACTTGAAGAAATGGAAGAGCTGACTTAAAGAACACACCTAAAATCTAGGTCAAGAGCAGGTAACTGATATCTTGGAGCTCAAGTATCAGTAGGTTATGACTGAGAAATTTAGACTAAAGAGGAGAGTCGTGGATGGGGACTCAATCGGTTTTCACAACATGTAAGATTAAGAATAAATCACTCAAACAGACTAGTGAAACCTTGGAGAGAGACTCAGTGGATAAAGGCAAAAGAATTTAGAAGCATTTTGTGAGCATATATAATCAAAATGAGTCACAACCACATAGCATATAGCAGGCAAAAAATAATCATCTGATTATTTTTTGCCTTCTGATTACAGGCATCCAAACTATGCCTGGATCTTGAGGTTCTCCAGAAAAGTATGTTTTAACTTTCAACACCTCCTATGGTAAAATGGAGATTGAGTTGTCTGTAAAAAAGCAGGTCCCACGTAATAATGACCTAAGGAGACAGTTAACAAAGTAATGGCTTTAATGGGTTTGAAGAGATTTTGACACTTACCTCCAAAAGTCTGGTTCTCTTCTCTCCTTAGCCTCTCTCTCCACCCTTGGTGATAAAGGCCAAGAAATCTTCACCATTGAAATAATCCCATAGTGTAATGCCAGATCTTTGAGGTCTTCGGTGGAGTTGCTCATCTAGAATGTATTCAAGCAACAGGAGCACCATCTAGTTCAGGTCTTCTGACAAGTCTCGGGTGGACTGGCAGAAATGCCCCATTGGCCTTGGCAAGGATGAGCTGTTGGTTGAAAAACAGGTACAGCAACCTTGGCCACTCTTTCCCAGACTCTGTATAGGAAGGGAGAAGCGTTCCTGCACCAAAGTACAGCAGGATGGTGCTGGAGTTTGCAGCCTATCAGAATGGCCATGGATGGAGTCCAGCTGCACAACTGCCAATGTTCCAAACCTGGGTTCCAGTGTCCAGTTTACAGGGTCCAGCATTTGGCCTTCTAAGACAGCCCCTCAGCTGCTGCCCCCAGCTGCATGTTTCCAATCTCCATGCAGGCATGGCTCCTGCACCTCTCTCACAGGGCTTTGAACTTGGGGAGAAGCCGCAGGCCTGCCTGGTCATCTTACTGTTTCACATCCAACTGAAGTGAGTTGAAGGACAGTTCATGGCAGTTCACTGTTTAAACAGTCAAACAGTCTTTTCTTAATGGTGGTTTTAAACTACAAAACCAAGCAAGTGCCAGCACAAGGAACCAAGGGAAGCTCGTGGTCATCAAGAGGCCCCGTATTGTCCTGCTGGAGGCTGAGGATGGAAAAATGAGGGTCTATGCTTTCATGACACTTTGTGAAGGCTGCTATGTTCACTCCCCTGGTAGTTGTGCATGCATCTGGTAGACTTCTTCTAGGAGGAATTATAACCAAAATAACAATGTATTTGTTTTTAATAGCTCTTTAAGTTTTACTTTGGCATGATAAGGTTTGAGTGTTTACAATGTTTTTAAACTAAATGCAGATCCAAAGTCTTGAATGAATTGTTTCCTTTTAAGCCTACTACTCAATAAATTATATATAGGTTTACAATGTAGTGGATTTATTATTATTGGTGGTGGTATTTAAATATAGTGTTTTAGTACAAATTTAAACCATCATGAAAATAAAAGTAATCACGTTAAAACAAACACAGAGGGAAGACTGTTGCAAATCAAGATATCTGCATAAGCTAAAATAGCACCCCACAGATAACAGGCCAATTGCAAAAGGGAAAGAACATGACTTAACAATGGAGAGATCTGTCAATCATCACCTTCATTAAGTGATAAAACTAGCATCACTGACTTGGGAATATCATAACAAGTAACTCCTCAAATGATGCAATATGAAGAACATAATACCTTTTATTATGTATTATGGCCAAAAATATTTAACATGAATCCAATCAAGCATAATCTTTTTTTCCAGTTTACATTAAACTAAAAGTAGAGATCCTAGTAAAAAATAATAAAAACAACACCTATTAGGAGGAAATAGAAATGGAGAAATAAATTAGGAATGTAGGACCTTCTACAACCTTAAGCTTGGTCCTCAGACCTATAATATCACCTGGAAGCTTTTTAGAATTGTACACTTTCATACCCCAAGCTAGACTTACTCAATAGGAATCTGCTTTTCAGCTGACTCTTAGTTAATTCATGAGCACACTAACATTTTAGCAGCACCAATCTACAAAGTAACTGACCAGGACACTTCTAAAGTTAGTTTAAATAAAAAGGTGGAGAGACACTTTAGCATAAACAATATTCAAGAGATGCAAAATCAAATTTAGTGTTGGAAACCTAATTCAATCCTGGTTCCAAAAAAAGTTAGAAAGTTATATCATATATTATGGAAAAAAATTGAGGCATTTTGACCATAGACTGATTTCAATGGTATTACAGAACATTTAATCTTCTTTGGTGTGCTACAGGTATTGTGTTTATTTGGAGATGCATATTGAGGTATTTAAGGGTGAATTGCCATAATACATGCAACTTACTTTCAAACAGTTCTGAAAAACTAAATTTTCCTGGGAGAGACAAAGCAAAGACGGAAAAATAATATGAGTTGTAGAGTCTAAAAAAAGTTATTTGTTGTGCTAGTCTCTCAGCTTTCTGAGTTTCTGAAATGTTTACTCTTAAGTTGAAAAAAAGTGAGTGGAGAAATCACAGGATGAAAGGAATAGCTGCAATCACCTAGTACGTTTAAAATTAGAATAAAGTTGAAATAACTGATTGATATTGTTACAATCCTTTAGGAAACACTACAATGTAATACATTATTTGATATAAACATACCAGGACACAAATACCAGAACACCTTTTCAAACATTTATAAGACAGCAATTTTGAACTGTGTAAGCCAGGATCAAGAATATAATTAATGATTTAATTATTTAGATTCGGTGATTCTCATTCTAGAAAGCCTGCATTGCTGGGGGTGGGTAAAGAGTTTCCAAACCAAGAAACATACATCCACTTCCCTCAGCCCAGAGAATCTGTTTTTTATGCCTACTTTGCAGATCCAAAGTCAATGACATACTCTGTATGTGCTGGCGAGAAAAGAGGTTAAGAACCACATAGAGTCCAGAGATAGATACAACTATACATGCGATTGAGAAATGGAATCTGACTCAATATTCTGTCAGACAAAAGAAAATACATGATAAATAAAAAATCTTCTTTGATTATATTTTATATAAATAGCTGAAAAATATGAAAAAATTTATTTTAAAGCACTTTATTTTAACTACTAATTCTCAAAATGAAAAGGAACGATTAAGTACTTAAGTTTAAACACAATGCTATAATTGCTATAGACTTACTTTACAAAGTCATTAATCTTTGTTGTTAAAAATCGTGTCTATTACTATTTCATTTTAAAAAGAATAATGCGAAGGCCACCAGAAACTATTCACTGAACGCCTGGTTTCTCAGTTCCTGCACAGTCTCTACTACTGTGAGGCAGGAGAATAGGGTCTGAAGGCAGGGAAACTAAGGCTGTTTCACTCCGACTTCCCAGAACTAAATTGAAAGGAAAACCCCAACTTTTCATTCCTAGGTAGCAAAAGGACCAGAGGCTACTCTGCAAACCCACCACCTTTTCTGTGCTGGCAGATGGGAAATTCAGTGTCCTGCAACAAATCAGACTGATTGCTAGTTGAGTCTTCGTTTGCAACTTTGTAACTTCACTCCAGCCTCTGAATGGTTGTTGTTCACAACCAATCAGACTGATTATAGGCCGAGTCTTCATTTGCATAGAGGTATAACTTCGTAGCTTCACTCCGGCCTCTGATTTGTTGCTTTTTGCAACCAATCAGATGTTTGCACAGTATTGTGACCTTTGTAATTCCACTTCAGCCACTGGTTAGCTGTTTTCTGCAACCAATCAAACTGATTGCGAGCTACCCCTTCATTTACATGAGGTGAGCATAAAGTGGCCAATGGGGAACTTCCAGGAGGTATTTGGACCCAAGAAGATTCTGTATCTGGGCCCTTGAGCTGCTGCTTGGCCAGCTCCCGGTACACTATGGAGTGTACTTTCATTTTCAAAGTATCCCTGCTTTCATTCTTTTGTTGCTGCATTCTTTCTTTGCTTTGCTGGGCATTTTGTCCAATCCTTTGTTCAAAACAACAAGAACCTGGACAACTTGTAGACACGACCCTCTACCGGTGACAGCTGTGTCCCCATAACTCTCATCTTAGTCTTTCTGTCCACGCATCCACTGAATTCCTGGATGTCTTATTCAGGGTTCTTCAGAAAAACAAAACTACCAGGCTGCATATACATGAAAGGGGATTTATAAGGGGAATTGACTCATGCAATCACAGGGGCTGAGGGGTCCCACGATAGGCTGTCTGAAAGTCTGAAAGCTGGAGAACTAGGGAAGCTATTTCATTAATCAGTTGTAGTCCAAAGGCTGAGAACCAGGTGAGTCAATCGTGTAACTCAGTCTGTGGCTGAAGGCCTGGAAAGCTCGAGTGCTGCTGGTGCAAGTCCCTGAGTTTTAAGGCCAGAGAACTTGGAGTTCTGATGTCCAAGGGCAGAAGAAGATGGTTGTCCCAGCTCCAGCAAAGAAAATGAATTTGCCAATCCTCTGCCTTTTTGTTCGATTCCAGGCCCTCAGCTGATTGGATGATGCCTCTCCTCATTGGGTGGAGGTGGATCTTCTTGACTTTGTCCAATCTCTTCTGAAAACATCTTCACAGACATATCCAGAGCTAATGCTTTACCAGCTATCTGGGTATTCCTTAATCAAGTCAATTTGACACCTAAAATTAACCGTCACACTGGGTAACTTGTTTGTATAACATTTTCTCTTTCTTCATTTTATTGTCTTTTGCTGAGTCCTTCTCTGGGGTGGCTCTAGAAGTTATTTTCATAAACAATGACAATTTTATCTCATAAAAGGAATTTGGGTACTAATTGTTAAATTATTATGATGATTATTGTTTTCTTATTACTATCACATTGCTACCAAACTAAGAGCAAACTAGTTACATGTCTTCTCCCTTAGATTTTACTTTATAAGCAAAGGTGAAGACAGCAAGTAAAAAGATCAAAAAGCATTTAAAATGAAGAGTGCTCAACTTTAGCATTTGAAAGCGTGACTTCAAATAAATGCACAATAAATTATTGACTACTCCTTCTCCCTTCAGTAACTGTTCTGCTTTTAAAGATATAAGAATTCATTTTCTAGTAACCCAATATTGTATAAAAGGGATGAACTTTTGACCTGAGAGTGTGTATGTGCTTTATTAATATACTTTCTAAATTCACAAGGAAAAATAAACATGAGATGTGTCTTATAAAAATGTACATAGTTTTGAGTTACATTGACAAAAGGCAACCAATTTGGATGTTCTCGGCATGTGTGATATCATGCTCTAGATATGATGTCCTAGAAATGTCTAGGAGTAATTTGGGGAAGGGCAGTTGGCATTTTATGAAATGGGACCAAAGATACTATGTTTTATAAAATCCATGGGTCAGTAACCCCCAAAAAAGTGTTACTCTGTATCTCTCACATCTTCTAAATATCCCACTAGGCATTCATTCATGAAATAAGAAACATGCATGTAATTATCTAAACATAGAAACAAATTAATTTTTGATGTCAACACAAAGGGCATTTTGCTGAGTTATACATGCTGAATTTTCATTAGTGTAATTACTGTGTAAATCACTAGAGGAGTTGTACTTTATTTTAATCGGAGTTTTACCAAGAGTTGTTCATCACTTTGAAAAATCATACAACCAATAGAACACACTTGTATCACTCTGCAATACAATATGCCTGACCCACTCATGTTGATTGTATAGCATGTATACATACAAGAATCAGATATACTTATTTAAATCTTTTCCCGTATTTGAGTACAAGCATTTAAAACTTAAAATAATGTGTATTATAAATTATTTTCCCTCAAGTTTTCCTTTAAAGATTGAATAATATATAAATTTTATTTAAACTAGATACATAAATTGTTTATATTATGATTATATAATATTTCAAGATATTAAAGGGAGTGCTACAAAATATATGCCATAAAGAGTATAGCATATATATATATAGCAATCTAGGTCATAGTCAGCTTTTTGACAACCATGTAATCATATACTTTTACTGAGTGAATTTAGACTGTGTTATTTTTCCAACTTTTCCCCCTCTTTTGTCACAGGGAATTCACTTAGCCACCCTGTGACTCAATTTTCCTATAAAATGAAGATGATAGTAGAACGTTATTTGTGGACTAATTATAATTATAAATGAGTTAGTAAGTATAAACAAGTTAGAACTAACAATCAATAGGTAGATATTCTAAATGTTGTTATGTATACTTATTATATATTATTTATATATGTTGTTTTATATATATATGTCCTCTAATAGTGATGATGAGTAAATATATATATATTATTGAAGTGCATATATATATATACACACACACACACACACACACATAAAAATGCAGATTGTAGTGACAACCTTTTTCAGGAAGAACTGAAAGGATTTACCTACGTAATCATAGTAAACTAGTTTGGGAAACATAAGTTACTGTTAACGATAGGGAAAATATTCCCAGAAGAATAAAAGCAAGTTTCAATTTACAAAGTACCAGAATAGAAAGGAAATCAATAGGAAGATGTCATATAATTGGTTAGAAACTTGAGCATACAGGAATTGTCCCACTCGAGGTGTGGGGAGGCTAAGGTCATCCATAGAGGTATGAACAAAGAGAAATGCGTTATTTCCTTAACTCACATAACTCTTTTCTTATACAGATGAAAAAATATGAATGTCAAAAAAATACTTGAGTGAGAAATTATTTCATAAAACGAAGAAAGCTAAAAGGCATATGGTAAAATGAAGAGGAAAACACAACCCAACACTGGTATGTGTACATGTTATAAACCACAGGAAATTGTACCATTTGATGGTCAGAGCCATCTCTTTTCTTTCAGCCAGAAGTTTACTTAAATCATTGTTCCAAAATCGCCAAAATGATTATTCTCATGTAAATAACTGAATTTGCCATATAATAACAAGCCCAGTAATATTAATGATAATGATAATATAATATCAATATCTAATAACATTATTTACTGATTATGATATTTAGAATCATCTGACACTTAAAATTACCCTATGAGAAAGTATTCTATCACTATGTTGATAAAGGAGAATATAATACACAGACAACCCATATTTTGAGGATGATTCTGGGGATAAAATCTTAATGGAATGAGTGAACATATTCCCCAAATAATCCAACTATTATTCAGGAAATAACATATTTTACATCTTTCAATTTTTTCACTCTATCCTTAGTTCATTGTTTCCTCCTTGTCATTAATAAACTATGGTAGTAAAAAGAAGTAGGAGGTTGAAGTAATCTGGAAAGAGGAGAAGAATATTTCCACATATATTAAATGATCATCTATCATGTTACAAATATATTCTAAATCAGTTAACTTTCATACAGTTCTTCAGATTAAATGATCAACAAGCATATATCTTTGTGTTTGGTTATGAAAACATATAACTAGTTCAAAAAGTGAATAATTCGTATAGGCTTAAACCCCACAGAGAATAAATTGTAGGTACCAGGAAGATAATTAAATTCAAATATCTGATACCTACTTAAGCCACAAGAGGACATCCAGCTAGTAGGATCCTAACAATGATTTTAAAAAAATCCATTTGTATAAAAAAGAATGATTAAATTGAGACTTTTTGTTCTTGTTGTTAACAATAAGTTATGTCTGGTGGTGTGAATGACTACTAGCAGTTTTTTCTATTTTTCATAAAGAGAAAGTGGTCAAAAGTTTATCTGAAAGTACTCTAAAAATGTAAATGAAATGGCAGTCTGCAACACAATTATATTTAAAATGAATTTCAACTACCAAACTTCTATGGGCATTAAAAAGTGAATAGAATTGCTTATTACTTGTTTTTATAATTCTTATGCATTTGTTTACTGAAATTTTTAAAAATGCAAACAAATCAAGATTAACATAAGCTCAGCTTTCTGTTTCTAGGACAGAATTTCTAAGAAGAAATATATTAGAAGAACAAAGAACTTTGTTTACTCTTACCCTAGCCTATAAGTGGAATTTATCAGAAAAAAAAAACAATTAAATAAATGAGTAAATGTAATCTTATGCTAGCAAAGGATGTGTATTCTTATGCCATATTGCCTTTGAAATAGTGATTTTATTCTGGAGAAAATATGAAAGAAGAGACTGATAGAGTAATAGTTTTAGATAAAATCCTTTTTCCCCCTCCTATCCCATTTTTATTTGCTTTAAGCTAGCTTTTTTGTACAATGATATTTACATTAAATCAAGTTTCTATAGAAATATTGGTAAGCTCAGGTATTTACATGACATGACATTACCTGACTTATTTCCCCTTAATTTAATAAGACACAAATTGATTTTGAATGTAAGATGTCTAAGGAAATGTATCACTAGATTTGTGGTTGGATTTCTGTATATGGCCCTTTTACCTGACAACCATAGTAAATGAATGTCCTAGTAAGACCAACTTAAAAATAATTGTTATTCAGTGTCCTTGGTTAAATAAGCATCCATCCAAGTACTTATTTGTATGTGACTGCTTTGCACATTATGCTGAAAATCACAGGCTGTAACAAAAAGTTATATTCATTATCTTCATAAAGTTTACAATCTCATAATGAAGACAAAGTAGATGTATAGAAAAATATAATAACTAAGGGTAAAAACAGTTCAAACTAATAAAACAGGTCACATTAGGTTGGTACAAAGGTAAATAAAATATGAGTGTAGGGCACCTACCCCCATTTGTGAGTAGATAAGTTGAAAATGTTAAATCATATTCACACATTATGATAGTCAATTCTAGATATGAAGTTGAGAATGTCAAGGTATAACTGGTGTTCAACGTTATATTTGGGTTTCTGAAATTATTTGAAACATGTAATAGTCAACACAACAGAATAACTATGAGTCTTCTTAAATGTTACAGAATCATAGAGGGATAAAGTGTAGAAACACTCAAAGGACCTCATATCCTAGATGAGAAAACTGAAGCTCAGAAAGTTATGACTTGCTCAAGTTAGTCAGCAGCAAACATAAGGATACTCAAGTTCCTGGCTTTAAGAACAGCCCTTTCCACAGACTTTACTGTCTCTCCCTGCATTATATTATGAGGCTACCATAAAACAGAATTTGAAAACACAGAAATGCAAGCTCTTTTCCATCAGCCTAATTCCTACAGAGTGAAAAAATTGTGATTTGTTTGTTATCCATACCAGATAGAAATCTTGTACCTGAAAGTAAAAATATAGGTGATAAAAGAAAGAAAAGGACATTAGACACAATGCTACATATTGAGTAGAGCTGATTTCTAGTGTATTATATATATCACACCAAAATCCATAAATTAAGGCAAAATGTGGCCAGAAATAACATCATCTACAAAATAGACTCTTTCAGAAGAAAGACAGTATCAGAGCTTTTAAAATTTTACAGTCTGGGAAGGTATGACTTTATCGCTACCTAACAAATTGTATACCTATATGCATGCATGCATGTCTCAGATTTCATCTTGTAGGTCATTACGTCTCTATTACTTAAAACAAAAACAATAACCAAAATAAAAAACAAATATGCAAAACACAAACAAAACAAAAGCTAAATATACTAGAGGAAAACGGTATATGAAAAAGTTGAAGAAATCAGAAAAGATTAATTTTAAATACATATACACAAAGTAATTACAGTTTGGGGGTTAATAATTCCTTCACTATAATTTCTAAGATTCTTTAGTGCTCCAACATTTAAATCCTTGAGTGGTATAGTCTAATGAAATTTATTCATTGAACTTAAATATTCTGTATGTGAGATGTGTATGGACTTTTCATCCTGTGCATTAGTCTGCTACCTAGAACTTTTGACATGATTGCATCATGAAGCTTTTTCTGACTTCAGTGTGCTTGCTTTTTAATTAATACCTTTTAAGACCTGTTGGGGCAAGCAATGTAGTACCTAATAGAATACGAGGGAGATAAACATGCCAGGGCCTTTTTCACCTAAGGCCCAGTTTATGCTCATTTGCTTTGCTTAAGAATGATCTCTAATATTTACAATACTTGCTTCATTTGGGTCTTTGCTCAATTGTTTTTCTAATCTGAGTTTCTTTTCTTAACAGGTTTATTCTAAATTAATATTTACCTCTAGTTTATGTCACTCCCTCCTCCCTTAACCTGCTTAACCTTTTTTTCATAAAACTTATTATCACCTCAAATATTGTATTTTGTTAGTTTACCTTGCTGTGGCTCTGCATTTATTAGAACAGGAGCGCTACAAAAGCTGATAATCTATTTTATTCGCTGCCTTATCCTTAGTGCCAAGAAAAGTACATAACACAAAACAGAAACACAATAAATATTGGTCAAATCAATACAATATATAATTTTTGTTAAATTCCTCAAGATTATAGGTAACCTAAAATATTAAGTGAATGTGATCAATTATCTTCTAAACACGAAACTTTTGAATTACCTGTTTAGGAAGAGTAAGTTAAGCCACATGCTTTGTACTACTTATTTCATTCTGAGAGCATTCTATGAATTTTTTATACATGAGGAAAAGATCCAGACATTTGACTATCCACTGAGATAACCTAACTAGTAAATGGCAGAACCTGAATTGAGTACTGATTTTCTAATATGGAATCCCATACTCTTCTTTCTACATATTTTATGTAATAATAATTTCATGTATTTCATCAGCATGCCTTTATTTTTCTATTTCTCAAATAGGTGAAATGATAAATTCCACATGTCCGGTGTGGTTATAGAATTATATTAAAGATGTAATAGAATAATCTCTATCACACTTGAAAGACTTTTCTGTATCAGAGAAATAACAAATTCTAGCCTTCCTGCTCTAAAGGATGATGGAAGAATCTATCAGTTGTTGCTGAAATGCAAAGTGCTATGTTTAATTATTACTCCGGACACTCCAAAGTCTCATGTGGTAACATTTTTATGGAGATAATCTGTATCAAAGTATATCAGTGCAAGAACTCTTTCTTGAGGCTTTTTGAATTACAAATTTTCTCGAGCTAAAGTACAAGAAAGTGCGTCTGTGAATCAGACAGTCTACAAAATGCCCCTACCAAGGTGTCATATTTTAGAAGTCTCTCCATATTCAAACCATTGCACTCTGTCCCTTTAATTACAAGACAGATCAAGAAGAAAAAAAAAATGAGCAAAATGACAAGTTGGTGTTAAAATTCATTTTTTAACTCACTCATGATAAGATTTGTTTCTGTGCCCTAAAACATCTGCTTAGCTTCCTAATGTCGCTGATTTTACTAGGTAGATAGCACTATTTACTGTCAGAACATAGCAGGTGTAGCAAGTGAAGAAACAATTTTATTAAACAGCATTTACAGCAAAGAAACCACTGTGTCTGGACACTTTGAGTGTATCTTACAAGGCAAACAAACGTGATGGATGACAGTTTGTTCATTGTCCACTCTAGGTGAGCATGAAATGGTGTGTGCAGAGAGCTGACACCTCCATTTGTTTTCCTAATGCATTTGAAATTTCTAAATTTTATTTCATATACCTTTGTCAAATAAATAAAGGGAAAGGCAGAATGACTAAACCAATGCCTTTAGAAGATATACATTTTACTATGTTTTACTTAATCTCTCCCTCTTTTAAACAATTCTACCTAATAAGAATAATGTTTAAATATTTAATAAATGGAATAGGTATTTATTCTTGATAGTCTCCTTCAGTTTACATTAAAAGACGCATAACAAAGTTCTTAAATGTAGTACATTTGTTTGGCTACCATATGCTAAAATAACTACCATATGCTAAAATAAAATTCAAATTCTGGTACTTGACATTCATAAGCCTCTCTGTGATCTAAACTGCCCTATCAGTGGTAACTTGAATTTCTCCCATCTCTATCCCTATTCCCCTGTCAAACTGTACTCCTCAAGCTTTTAAGACTATCTTCATATTTATTTCTTCCACGATCCCCTATTTCATAATCCAACTCAATGTTACTTTTGTACATAGTTAGACACAGTTAGAAGAGGCCTCTTATTTTTTCTGAAAGCTCAAGTCTTATTTTAAATATATCTCTCATCTACTTAGTTTATGGCCATTCTATTTCATAACCTTGTACTATTTCTGTGCAACACAGACACACACACACACACACACACACACAACATTAAAATATCCTTGAGATCAGGCAACTAACTTACTCATTTGTTGCGGGAATTCAGGGACCCTGAATGGAGGGACCATCTGAAGCAGTGGCAGAAGAACATAAATTGTGAAGATTTCATGGACATTTATCAGTTCCCAAAATTAATACTTTTATAATTTCTTATGCCTGTCTTTACTGCAATCTCTGAACATAAATTGTGACGATTTCATGGACATTTATCACTTCCTCAATTAATACTCTTATAATTTCTTATGCCTGTCTTTAATCTGTTTATCACGTTATCTTCCTAAGCTGAGGATGTATGTCACCTCAGGACCCTGTGATGATTGTGTTACCTGTACAAATTGTTTGTAAAATGTGTGTTTGAACAATATGAAATCTGATTGTAAAACATGGGTGTTTGAACAATATGAAGTCAGTGCACCCTGAAGAAGAACAGAATAACAGCGATTTTCAGGGAAAAAAGGAAGATAACCATAAGGTTTGACTGCCTGCAGGGTTGGGCAGAATAGAGCCATAGTTTTCTTCTCACAGAAAGCCTATACATGGATGTGTGAATAGGAGAAATATCGCTGAATTCTTTTCCCAGCATGGAGTAATCCTGGGGAAGGTATGCATTCCTGGGGGTAGGTCTACAGATGGCTGCTCTGAGAGTGTCTGTCTTAGGCGGTTAAGATAGGACTGAAAGATGCCCTCTTCTCCTGCAGTGCCCTCAGGCTTACTAGGATTGGGAAATTCCAGCCTGGTAAATTCTAGTCGGACTGGTTGTCTGCTTTCAAACCCTGTTTCCTGTTAAGATGTTTATCAAGACAATGCATGCACAGCGGGACACAGACCCTCATCAGTAATTCTAATTTTTGCCTCTGCCTTGTGATCTTTTATTGCCCTTTGAAGCATGTGATCTTTGTGACTTACTCCCTGTTTGTACACCACCCCCCATCTAAAATCCCTAATAAAAACTTGCTGGTTTTGTGGCTCAGGTGGGCATCATGGAACCTGCTGATATGTGATGTCACCCCCAGCAGCCCAGCTGTAAAATTCTTCTCTTTGTAGAATATATAGAAATAGCCCAGAAAGATGCATGACACATTGTTTAGACTTGCAATCTTTGTAGCTGAAGACTGGAAAAAATTTTGGTGAGATATTTAATGTTTTCTCCCTTTCTTGTTTTCCATGTTTGTAATAAAAACAAACTATAATTCAAAAAAAAGAATAAAATAAGACTTTGTGGATTAAAAGAGAAGACAAACACCTCTGGATTTTAAAAACCACACCAAAATCTAGCCCTCAGTCCAGGGTGCTCTTTATTTAATGAAATGGGTTTCTAACAACCGTCTTTAAAACAGTGCACATGTACCCTAGAACTTAAACTATAATAAAAAAAAAGTGCTACACAGGTGATGCATGGCCAGAGGTGGGGGAAAACCACGGCTCATTTAGACAAATGGACACAGATCCAGAAAAAGGAATAATTTGAATGTAATAATTATATAGCAGATTTGGATTAGTGGAGGAAATAATGTTTTCAAAAAAATTATAGCTGCCTTAATGACCTATGGTTAAATTCATCGTAAATGGGTGCATCTATCATTGAGTGAATTAATGAATGATGGCACAAGTAATATTTTCTTAAGGCATGTCATTATGCTTCTAGGCATTGCATTTCTATTGGTGTTAGAAGCCATGAATAACTAGCAAGGAAGACGGGTCTATTAAGATGACTCTAAAGCAGAACATGCCTGACATTTTACAGCATAATGCAGCAATGTTAATGTTGGCCTAAAATGAGTCTTTTAACATTGGAATAAAGAAGTGCTCTTGGGTATTGAGTTATGTGCAAAATTATATCTCAGAATCCTACACTATTCATTCTGAAAAGTGTGTGTGTGTGTATGTGTGTGTGTGTGTGTGTGTAGGGGAAACCAAGTTAAATGAAGCAAACTTTTCTAGAGAAATTGTAATGTTGAATATTGTAGCTCAGATGATGGAGAGTATCTAGCAATTCTTATTACTGCCTTTAGGGACTAACTTGCTTCATTTGGTTTGTCCATGAGGAAGTCAGTATCTTTGAATATCTTACAATAGATGTGTTCATAGTTGTTTCTTGTTCTTAAGACAGTTTTCTAGCCCTGTAACTGTAAATCAGAGCCAACAGGAATGTATTCATTTATATTAATTAACTCCTTCTAAATGGTCTAAATAACATTACATATTAAGAAGAATATAGAAGAGACCACTAGATATTTTAATCTCCTTTTTAACAGTTTAGTATTACTGGTACAGATCTTTCTCTATCTTGTGTCCATTGCTATATTTGAATACACCTGGTTATCTTCATCCTGTCTTTCACACATAATTCAGGCTGCCTTCACATTTGAGATAATGACAGTATTAACATGATGGTCATATCCCTAGAAAGCATTCATGATTTTAAGCATGATTTTGTTATAAAAATGTATTCAAAAATAGTTCCACAATTTAAGAAGAGAGAAAGAACTTTCAAAATACAAAAAGTCCTCACAGTTTAGTTTGCAAGGTTGGCTTTAGGTTTTAGCTCTCAGTGAATAAATTGTTTAACTCCCTTCAACTGTGGAAAAAAGCAATATATCGAAGACATAAACATGAATAGTGTAAAACATGAACTAGTGAAAATTGTAAGCAAAATCACTTTTGGAGCTGATGAAGAGCAAGAGTGATTCTTTATTCAATGTTAACAAAAAAGAGCAAAGAAAACATCAGCGCCACTGATCCTTGGATGAATGCCATACATTCAACATATTGCTAACTCTCTTATACACTAATAGTTCTATTATCCTAGCATACCAATTAGCAGTAATTGTCTAATTGTAGTTCATAAACGTCTTAAAATAAGAATGTTAAATGCCTAGGTGTCATTAGCCCCCTTTCAACATATTTATTACACTTTTTGTAACTAGACACAAATGAAGAAGTCAATGTTTTAAAATGTTCTTAAATTTTCAAAGATTTTAAGAATAATAATACCATTTTTAAGGTTTTTATATTACATTGAAGACTTCCAATCAAAATAGTGGATTTTTCCAAGCCTCATTAAAATGATACGTAATCCTCAATGGGGAATACACCACAACTTTAACATTTATACATATTGATTATACTTTATAATTAAATAATAGCTTTACTCTCCACTGATTTTGTTTAGTAGTTCCCTTTATTAAAAATAATGCAGAAATTACATTTGCACACTGAATAAACATGCCAATAATTTGCTTAGTTTTTTTATCCTCAAAATTATTAACTAGAAGTATTACAGTATTTCTTTTTGAATCTCTTTCTACAAGACACCTGATCTCACAACTGTAGTTTTAAATCTTAGCTGAAGAAAGAAAAAAAAAATCCCCTTGAAACATAAAAGCCATTTTAGAGGCAGCAGGAGTCTGGCATTATTGAAGGTCATACTGTCACTGAAATGAGCTTCTATTTCCTTTTAAAAATGATAATCAATGTCTTGAATAAAGCGATTTTTAAAAAATAGAAGGTAAGAAGGCACCTACGTTTTCAACTTCTGACTCCTGCAATTCTAATTTGATCGATGTGAAAGAGGGAATTAGATATTTTTTCTTACATGATTTGGCACCAAGATCTTTTCCTATCAATAAACCTAGACTAGAAAATGTGCGTATGTGTGTTTGTTTTGTGTGTGTGTGTGTGTGTGTGTGTGTATTCAGTTCTGTTTTTCTTATAGAATGGTTCAAACTCATGAGAAGTGCTTGCTGTCATGTTTTTGATGGCTGTATTCTGATAATGGATGACAGGACTTAATGAGAGAGCTAGCAAGCATTGTTGACCTAATAACAACCTCAGCTGTCATTACTTTAGGGCAAGAGTCCTGCAGGGGTGGACACCCAGTGATCAGTAGATACTGCAGGGGAGATTAGATTAAGGCGGGATCAATAGAACAATTCTGTCCCACAAGTTTTATTGTTATCCCTCCACCAGCTGAGCTGAAATGTAGGATCTGATTGATTCATTAGATTACTCTATACTCAGACACAGATGACTAGACAGAGTCTGTAATGCATACAGAGGGCGTTAACCTTAATCGCTTTAACCACCTAAGCAAATTCCATGGTTCTTATTCCCAGCTTTCTTTAGCTTCAAGATTTATTCAATGTAAAACTGCCATTTGTTTTACTACTCCTTTATGGCTTAATTTGCATAAGATAGAGATAGTAAATAGCAGCCATTCCCAGCTTTTTAATTTTACCTGTAAAGTTGTACTTCTGAAAGAGAATTGGATACTGTTGAATGTGGTAAAAGCAAGAATGTATATGAAATAATAAGGAGAAGCTATCATAAAATAGATGCATTTATTAAGTTAAAAATAATAAAGATGAGTATTTAGTAAAGTTATCACTTAATACAAGGCTGAAGTCCTTTAGAAATCACTAATTTATTTCCCCATATTGAGGCACTAACGACTAACAGCTTTAACCAAACAACCATATGGAAAAATATGTATAATTAAGATGTTTTTTTCTAAATGCTTTCCTACTTCCCTTTTATGGACTCAGCTCTACTTTGGTTCTTTCAATTCTTATTGATATAATGAAACAGCTCTTTGCTATCTAGTTATGAATCTAGTGGTCACCTTCATAGATGGCAATGTGTTGTATGCCCCTGATAGGGAAAAGCAAAGTTTACTAAATGCTTGTCATAATTTATAGTTATATGAATATCCACTGACTAATAATTAAATATTGGTGTCTTACTGCCTAGTCAAAAACTTTCTTGTCAAAATTTATATCTGATTTTCTATTTTCTCAAGGCTTTTCCAAAATAGTGATATACTATTATTGGTAAACACCAACATTATTATTCATTCTCCTTATTCCACCTATTTGCAACAATATTTGCAGTCTCAGCCCACTGCCTTCTTTTCCTGGAAGATTTTTGCCCCTGACTTACTGTTACGAACTCAGCACTATGTCATCAGTTTCAGTGACTTCAGTATCCTCATAGATGACCTCATTATGACCTTAATATGCAAGCATGCAGGATAATTGTACCTCTTTTGCAATGATCTTGTCTTCACACATATATGTGTATTTCCTGTTGTCATAAAAAATATTTTTTCATTACCAATAACTATGCCACCAGTATCTCAATTTCAAGTACCTCCAACTATCACTTCTTATCTTTTCAGCTGATAATGAGACAGCCAAATGGCTAGGCAGATAAAAAGGGGTCCCCAGAGAGTCTCCCACCTGCCCCACAGTTTACATCAGATACTTTTGTGCAGATTAGGGAACCTGCCCAGGGCTTTTCTGGGCATGCCCATAGTGCACTGGAGCCCAACGTGTGCACTGGGGGAACTGGGTGGAGCCATGGGGAATGCCTGCCTTATGCAGGGGAGGAGCCTGCCCTCTTCAGCTCCTGTGGTGACCTGGGAATCAATCTGCGAGGTGGAGGGCTGGTTAGCAGGACTCTATCTCACTTTGCTGAGTTTTTTTTTCCCCTTTTTCCTTTTTGCCCAGTAAATTCTGCTACTCACCTTTCTATGTGTCTGCGAGTCTAATCTTTCCTGGTCGTGTGACAAGAACCTGGTTTTAGCTGAACAAAGGAGAAAGTTCTGCAACAATAACATCCATTAACTCCACACCAAGAAAACTGTCCCCACAAGGACCCATAATTCATTGAGCTGTTCCACTTTTTCAGTGTCTCTTAAAGCCTTATGTCCTCACTTCATTTATGTATATCCTAAAATACTTGCACCATCGTTTTAAATGTTTAGCTAAAAAACAAGCCTTGTTAAGTCTGCCACTTTCTCAGTGTACTTACCCTTGCAGCTGAATGTTGACAAAGAAAAACATAACCATGCTGATTAATCTGTTATTTTGAAGTGGCTACGTTGTCTGGGGTATATACCCTGGGTTCATTGTCATGCACCAGGAAAATTTAAAACAAGGACATACACGAGGAGTGTAGGTGCAGAGGTTTACTAGAGAAAGAGAAACAGCTTCCTCTATAGAGCAAGGCGTCTCTGATCCGAAAGGACCATCTGGCCGCAAATGCCCCGAATTTTATAGTCCAATTTGAGAAGGTGGTGTCTGATTTACACAGGGCTCATAGATTGGTTCGATAATGTATGACGTTTACATAGTGGACAGGGAAGACTTGTGGCCCCAACCTAATCTTATGCAAATGGGCTTTCCAGTTGATAGGCCCACCTTGTCTGCTCCTTAGAGCACACACGGATAGCAGAGAAGGGAAGACGGAGCCGCCATCTTGAAAATGTCTAATCCTTAGTTCCTGCTGGCTCCCAGTTTGCAGGCTGCTCTTCGTTGGAAAATGATTTGGGGTTGCTTTTCATTAAGAAGAAAAGCCTTACCGAGGACTCCCATACCCTTGCTATCTGCCTAAGTAATTCCTTCTTAACTCCTATATCAATTTCTCTCAGTAAAAGGAAAAAACAATTACACTGGAGCCAGGACCCTAATTCTCCACTTCTTTTATATCAAAAGCTCTTAGAAGAGTCATCAGTACTCACTGTCTTCAGTTTACTTTATTCCTTTCTAAATCTCCAGTCAGGCTTTCGTAATATTCTTACTACTCCTTCTCCTCACCCACCCACCTACACACCACCACCAACATTGTGCTGTAACATCTGTTATGTTTCAATGGACTACAGGGTGCTAAAATCAATGGTGAAGTCTCAGTTTTCATATTTCAGAATGAAAGGCAAAATCCATACAAAAAAAAATTGGCTTTCTTGGTCTAGCTCTCTGTTAATTTCTAACCTCATTTTTTATTACTCCTAGTATTCTCCTTAAATCTGTCTCAGACAGCCTTTTGATATTTCTTTAAATACATCAAGAAAGCTCCCAAACCAGAACATCTACATTTTAGGTCCCTCTACCCCAAGCATTTCTCCTCTTCCCTCTTGTCTAAAGTGATTTAGCCAAATTACTTAACCATAGGCGTGTCTTTTGATAAACAAAATTCCATAGTTTTAATGCACCTGTATTTATTAGTCCTTTCACCTATAATTAGGACTTTTCTATGCATACTTTTATTCAGTACATTTTTCCCTTCTGCTCAATGTTTTTTCTTTCCTCTTTGTTTTTATTTAAATTGTGAATCTGATTTTTCAATTTCATTCTTTATTGGCAGTTTGTACCATACAGTTTTGATATTCTTTAGATGATTACTCTAGAAATTACAACCAGCAACCTGTTTATCAAACTCTAACATTAATTGGCATTTTTATCTGTTTTTGGTTGCCTGGAAGGCTCAAGGAATTTGATTTATTTAATTTTCTTGACCAGAGATGGTGGCTTATGCCTGTAATCCCAGCACATTGGGAGGCCAAGGCAGGCGGATTGCCTGAGCTCAGGAATTCAAGACCAGCCTGGGCAACATAGTGAGACCCTGTCTCTACAAAAAAAATACATAAAAATTAGCCAGTTGTGGTAGTGTGTGCCTGTACTACCAGCTACTCTGGAGGCTGAAGCAGGAGGAACGCCTGAGCCTGGTAGGCAGAGGTTGACGTGAGCTGAAATGGTCAGCCTGGGTGACAGAGTGGGATCCTATCTCAAAAGCAAAACAAAACAAAAATTTTCTTGATTACATCATAAATATAGTGAAATATAATTTAAACATACATATATGCACACAATTTTCATTATTCATTATTTCTTTCTACATTTCTGAACTTCTATTTAGAAGCATGCTTCCCTGTATTGAAATAACACCTTCAAATATGTATTCACTATAAGTTGTTTTGAGAAATTCGTTTTACTTTTTTACATTTCACAAGGTGAAATGTAAAAATATAATAATAAATGTGTCTATACTCTCTTAGGGTACAGAGCTGGTAAACCTGTGTGTATTAAGTATGCATACATGCCATTTATATTTCACAGCCTTGTGTAGAACAAGCTTACCAACTATAGTACAATGTGGTGTAAAGTTATTTGTGTTCTTTCGTCTAATCGCATCATTTCAAAGCATTTTATTCCCACTCAAAGCAACTTGGATCAACTTCTCTCTTTCTCTTCCCCGTAAGTGTATATATTTCATTTATAGTACAATTTGATTCTACTTTTCATATGTGCATTTCACTTGGGTCTTTCCCCTTTCCCACATTCTAGTTGATTTTTAAAATTTACTTACAGTGATGTACACTTTGTGGTGTGCAGTTCTATAAATTTTGACAATTGTATCTAAAATCATAGTTCTATGTATGATGTATCTAGAATCATGGTTCCATACAGAATGATTCCATCGTTCCATCTTCAATGTTGTCCTCTCTTTCATGCTCAATAGTGGTGATTTGTATCTTCTCCCATTTTTCTGGATCAATCTCATTCGAAATTTGTCAATTTTATTGATTTTTTTTCAACAAAATTTGCTTTCATTACTTGTTCCTCATTTTTCATTATCATTGTATCAATTTCTGCTCTTATCTCTCATATTTTATTTCCTGTTTGTGTATTTGGTATGAGTTCCTTTTTTGTTTACCTAATTTCTTTCTTTTGTTTTTCCTGGTTTCCTAATTTCTTTCCTAAGAACCTTAGATTAATAATTAGAGCACCTTCTTTTTTAATGTAAGCATTTGATACTATGCAGTTCCCACTGTTTGACATGACCCTAGAAGTAATTGATAGTGTCTTACTTTCTGGTGTGACATTCATCTTGCACATTCCTTTGACTATTAGCTGCAATCAGCCATCTCTCTAAAAAACCCTGGATTCATTCAAGAGGATATGTTATGGTATTAGAGACCATATTGGATTATTTTATTTTATCTTTTGAGATAGGGTGTTGCTCTGTCACCCAGTGTAGGGTGCAGTGGCGTGATCATAGCTCACTGTACCCTCAACCTCCTGGACTCAAGTGATCCTGCGACATCAGCCTCCAGAGTAGCTGGGCCTACAGGCATGCACCACTGTGCCAAGCCCCATATTAGGTTATTAGTGATGCTTGTTGCTACTGAGTTGGCCATTGTTCCTAATTATTTTCAATGGGAAGAATTAGGAAAAATTGCATGTAACCAAAGAATTATTAAATCTCAGAGACTGGATAAATAGATAGGTAGGTAGATGATGCTAGATAGATAAAGCCATTCTTTCCTGATGAAAAGCCATTTAAATTTTTTCAATGACACCAAAATAATTATGCACTGGTTTATGCCAAATTATCATCCCAATGCTCTGAGAATGATACATTGTGACTACTGAAGAGAGTTTAAAATGTTTTCGATTATTCTTTTTGTTCTTATTTCTGGTCAAGTATATAAAACTGAATTATGTGTTTCACACTGTGCTGATAACATCACTAACTGGATACAGAGGCTCATTTTTCTCATTTCACTTCTGAGTTTGTTTTCTAAATTTTTTGTAGTAAAAAAAATTATTTATTTTTCATGTTATGTAAATTATTTTTTGTATTTTGTAAATTATTATGTATGTTCCAGTTTGAAAGTAAATTCCAGAAGACATGAGCTATTTATAGAAAGCTGCTCCTGAGTCCTCTATTTTCTTTTTTTTCTCCAATAGGTAATAATTTGTTTAATAAACCTCATATTTTTGTCTATATTTTTAAATACTGTAAAGCTATTATATAGATATATGAATTTTTTTTTTTTGAGATAGAGTTTCACTCTTGTTGCCCAGGCTGGAGTGCAGTGGCATGATCTCAGTTCACTGCAACCTCCACCACCCGGGTTCAAGTGATTCTCCTGCCTCAGCCTCCCAAGTAACTAAGATTACAGGCACACGCCACCACACCCGGCTAATTTTTGTGTTTTTAGTAGAGACAGGGTTTCTCCATGTTGGCCAGGCTGCTCTCAAACTCCTGACCTCAGGTGATTCACCCACCTTGGCCTCCCCAAAGTGTTGGGATGACAGGAGTGAGTCACCGTGCCTGGCCATATATAGATATATGAATATTTTACTATATACTATAATGTATTTGTTATCTCTCTTTGTCATCTTACCTTTTAGTATTTAGGAGGTTTATATCTTGGTTCTAATGATATTTATGTTATTACCTGTACATTATACACTTTCCCTCTTTAATTGACTTTATCTTTAGATTTTGCTTTAGAAACAATATCAGATGAGCTAGTGAGCTCTTCTTTCTTCCTGTATCTCTTCTTTAGCATCTAATTTGAAAAAAAATTTACTTCCAATTAATACATATAAAGCTAAGAGCAAGATTACTCTCCATTTTTTTCTCATATTTGTTACTTATTTTTTCACAATTTTAAACACATCCTGCTGCATATTTGATAGTTGAAATGCATCTAAGTAGAGTATGTAGACATTAAATACGGTACTTTCTTACTCATAACTGTTATCTGGCCTTAATTCTATATGTAAATCTATATTTAATGCTCACTATTAATCCTCATGTTGTTGCCATTTCAGCCACTTTGATCATATTAAGTTTGTTCTCTAGATTCTGTGAGAAGGACAATGAATCAATATTTCATAATACCTTGCATGTTCATAAGAATTTGATTGAGACATTTATACTTGAAGGTCACTTTAGTGGATATAAAACCCTCAGCTAAGTTTTCTCTCTTTGTATATCTTAATTACATTATGCCCTTGATTTCTGGTATAAAGTATTACTATTACAAAATCTAATAATCTAATTTTGTTGTCATTATAAATAACTTAAGCTCCTCTTCCATCCCAAAATACTCAAAGGATTTTAATTTTCCTTTAAAGCCAAGAGAGTGTTGGTTATTCTAGATTGATTTTCCATAATAAGGAATAAATGGGAAGGAGCATAAAGCTGATAGCACCTGCCTGAAAATGATTTTTAAAACAGTAAACGTGTAAAGGACTAAAAGTTAAAAAATAAAAGATCAATTAATCAAAAATTAAGTTTTATGAGATTCCGTGTGATATAGATATACATAGATATAATAGGAGTTCATGAGGAATGAATCTATAACCATAGAAAAAGATAATATTAAAACCATAATTTGAGAAAAGTCTTCTGCCTTTAATGTTTTTAAAATAATAAAAAGAAAAAAAATAGAGGCAGAGACTTGTACTAAAATTGAAAGATAGTTTCAAAACCCTGAGAAAATCAGTCTATCACCTTGTACAGATTAAACATATTTATTTTAAATGTGCTATTTGATTACTTAAATATATAGTTCTCCAATTGCTCTGATTTAATTTTCTTTCTTTCTGGTTTTAATCCATTTTTATATATATGTGTATATGTATATATATATATATATATATATATATATATATATATATATTAAATATATGTAGGAATAATTTTGGAACAAGAATGATGTTATTTTCCTCCATAGAGGAGACACATAATCTCATAGGCCAATATCATTGGAAGCTGGTATGCAATTTCTACAGCAGACATTCTGCTTCAGGTTACCCATCTTATGGGAGTTCATTTTGGATCCCAGCACAAAGGGATAGATCTCTCCTTTGGTGGGTCTTAGGCTTTAATCAATACTGTTCTACCAGAGAGGCAGCCGAAAGTTCTAATCTTTATTTCAAATTCTAAATTATCTGTTCTGAGATTTTCATATTTCTGCAGGTAAAAACTAACCGTAAATACTAAGCTCGCTTCCCTGGGTCTATATTTTCCTTCAACTTATGGCCTGCTACTTACTTAATTTCTTGTTGATTCTCTGATGTCTTAAAGTAAATGTTGATATGTTACCCAGATTTTTTGGTTGTTGTTTTTCACAATTCATGGTAAGGTCCAAATTATTTAGTTCAAAATTATACAATACAGAAGTCTTCATTTAATATTTTCAGAAATCTTAAGACTTAGAGATATTATCTTCTTTTGACAGATAAGAAACATAAGGATCAAAAAGTAACTTATCATTCTTAGGTAATATAGGTATATCTAAGTGAACAAAACAGACTTAAATGCCTTTATAGCTCAGTTAAAAATATGCGCTTTTTAATTTACCGACTTTTATATAAAGCAGATTACAAAGTACCTGCTAAGTTCCAGGCTCAGTTCTCAATGCTTTCCAAATATTAACTCTTTTAATAACCTTAAACTATACAAAGAGGTAGGTTCTATCCCCATTTATAAATGATGGAAGGAAAACAAATAGTTTTAATTTCTTGCTGACAGATTTTGTTTGTTTGTTTGTTTTGAGACGGAGTCTCTCTCTGTCGACCAGGCTGGAGTGCGGTGGCGCGATCTCTGCTCACTGCAAGCTCCGCCTCCCGGGTTCACGCCATTCTCCTGCCTCAGCCTCCTGAGTATCTTGGACTACAGGCGCCCGCCACCACGCCCGGCTAATTTTTTTGTATTTTTTAGTAGAGACGGGGTTTCACCATGTTAGCCAGGATGGTCTCCATCTCCTGACCTCGTGATCCACCTGCCTCAGCCTCCCAAAGTGCTGGGATTACAGGCGTGAGCCACCGCGCCCGGCTCTTGCTGACAGATTTTTTACACAGATACACCAAACTGTTGTTGAATACACTCTCTTAACTGCCTTTCCCGTATAATAAATAATCTCCTTTAAACTATAATAAAAGATGATCAAGAATATGAGAGTCAGAATCTGGAATGTGATAAATTTAGTTTTTATAACCTCTTTCCATACCATCCTCATTCAACAGCATTAATTACAAATTTACTATATAAATTACTAATGCTAACTTCATTTTGAAAAATGTGTATGTGTCGGTGCGCACGCATGCACACGTGTGTGCTGGAGGTAGTAGAAATACAGTTCGGATAAAATAATATATGAGAAACTTTAGGATGCAAATAAAAGAGAAATGTAATAAGCATGTATTAAATGAGAGGCCAAGGAAGGAGGATTGCTTGAGGCCAGGAGTTCAAGATTAGCCTGGGCAATATAGTGAGATCTCATCTTTACCCTACCCCTCCAAAAAACAAATAAAAATTAAAATAAAAAATCATGTATTAAATGTACAAGGTACATGCCATGCTAAATATTTTGGAGCATATAGTGTCATGAGCAGGCACATTTTCTTCCCTAAGAATCTACCCTATATTTAAGAAAACAGGGCAGAACTTTGAAAAAATATATATATTATTTGAAAATATAGTCTGTAATTAATTACTGGGTTTCTAAAAATTGCATTATTTCAAAATGAGAGACATCATAATTAATAGCAATGTGATGAAAATGTCAATAAGGAAAATATTCACCATTGCAATAATAGTGCCATATTTTATACGAATTTTATAATTCTCAGAGCATTTTCAAAAATAGGCACATTCATGTATTTATTTGTTGGTGGTGGTAAAATTTACTCAGGAGAGTACACTGTCTCTAGCACATAGCAGAGTTTCAATAAGCTTGTATTGAATAACATGAGTCCTGCATTTGGAAATCAATGAATACAGTTTTTGTGTTGAAATCGTATATAATGGTGCGTTGTTTTTACTTCTTTTCCACTTAATTCATTGAATATGTATGGAATGTCAACAGGCCCAGACAACGAGGCTTCATGCATACTATTTACCTCATTTACTTGTTACAGAGGGTGAGAAAATGCATTTATTATACAGTTTTAATTCAGAATGTGACATATGGTATAGGATTCTCTCTTCTCGGCATTCCTTCTTTTTTATCCAAATTTCCTTTATATTTTTAAATGAGAGAGAATTTTTTAACACAATAAAATAATTGGTTAAGAGTTATATAGACTATATTCTACAATAAGACTAAACATAACATATAACCATCTGGTTAAAATATATACAGTTATCAAAATATTCTGTAGAGTGATGTCACAGTATTTTTGAATTATTAGTCAGCATACGCTTACATTAGAGACTCAGAAACTTTTGAAGGAAAGGTAACTTTAAAGATAATCTAATCAAGTCCTTATTATACATAAATAAGCAGTAGAAGTAATAGAAGTCAAATGCGAAAAAGTAATTTACTGATTTTTTTCACAGATAATTATCATTTAATAATGGGTTATCCCAATTCACTATAGAACTCTTTCCCCCAAAAAGGCCACAGCACTCCTTCATTATGTATTATTACTTTCAAAAGTATTTTCCTGTTGAAGTGCTTTCTATGCCTTTGTAACAAACTTCAACAAATGTTCTAAGATAAATGTAATATTTACTTAGGTTATAAGACACTCTAAGATAAACTCTAAGATTAATAAACACAAATGTATATGATGCTTTTTGAGCACCATATTTTTCTGTTTGAGACAATCACCCTAAGCCAGGTGATTTAGAATTACACTGACTTGTATAATAAAAGATTGACTTACACACACACACACACACACACACACACGCAAACTCATATATGTTTTACCTATGCTCTTTTAAGCACCTTTTAAATAATAAATAATACAATTTTCATAATTTCCTCTGAGCATTTGTAGAATGATCATGTTATAGATGAGGGTGTAAAGACAGAGAAGATAAGTAAGTTGCCTACGTTTCTACAACTAATAGTTGGAGGAGTAAACAAACTTCTTTGTCTAAACTGGTACTTTAAGCTGCACTTTCGAGGGTTTAAATCTAAACTTCTGTAACTCATCTTTTCCCACCCCACCCCTGCAATTCTTTGTTGCTGAATTTTATAAAAAGCTTTAGGGTAAGAAAGTTTCCTAGAAAAAAATTATTTTCTAAGACAAAAGTAAATGTTTTGCCAATGGTCTGACAGCCATGAAAAGTGAACTTTATAGCATGCAAATATTAACATGATGACTTTTCGGGGAAAACAATAGCAAGTACAATATGCATTTTAAAACATTATATGAGAATTATGCCTTTGCAGGATTTAGTCCTCATTTTGGACACATCTTCCTCAGAATCCTCTCTTGTATATGCCTCTAGGAAAGAAAATTTGGATGGCCAAGTGGAGAATTTAGAAACAAATATGAATGCATAAAAAGTTCTGTTTTAGAGACTAGAAGTATAATCCTCAAACAAAATATCTACCAGTTAAAGCAGTGAATTTCACTTTCTTATTTGACTATTTGCTCTGCTTATAATCCTCTAAAGACAAATGACTCAATCTTAAGTGTTGATTTGTGGTGTTCCACACTAATAATTCAGAGAAAGTGGCCCATGAGTGTCTGACAAATAGAAGAAACAGTGCAGAATGTGTTTCCTGCTGAGTAGTTGTCTTAGTGCAGTGCTGGTTGAGATTTAGAGGTTACCAGGAAGACTAAATAAATCAGACATTTGACCAACAAGAGTGTTCTGCTCACTTTCTCCTTCAACTCCTTCTTTACTTCTTTTCTTCTTTTAGGTAGAGAAAGATTTCTTTGTTTAATAATATATATAATTTATCCTAAGGAGATAATTAAAAAAAAAAGCACTGGGAAAAAGAACTAAAAGGCAAAGTCACCAATAGTTTCAATGTGACTCTAGAGAAAACTAGGTAGAATGGCCTCTGAGTGTGTGGCTTCCATTAACCCACCACTCTGGGAAGGAAAGAAGTGAGGAAGTGTGGCAGACGTAAAACAGAGCAGCCAAGGACTGCCACATCCGAAACATCGGAGACTGTGGTGCTAAAAGATACTCACTGCGAAGAGTGTATAAATGTTATCAGAATTCTACGTATTTTGTCACTCTCTAACGGGTTTCTAATATTTTTTCCTTTGAAGGAGAGTACCTGTCCACCCCACTAAATATGGGTTTACAAAACAGAAGACTTACATCTAATAGTGCTCTTATCTGATTTCCACAAACAATATAATGCTGTTATATAAGGAATATTCCAAAATGACTTATTTGATATTTTTGAAATGCAGACTCTAGTTAATTACCAACATTTATTTGTATATTACATTTAGCAAGTTTTGACAATTTCACATTATCTTTCTTTGACATAAATAGAAATAAACAATAAAACACAATTTACAAAGTCACCAGGGAAATCATTCCCATTTTACAGAGAAGTTGTGAAAATGATGTGCTGAGAGAAGTTAGCTCAAATACCTACTATTTTTAATGGAGGGAAGCAGGACAAGCGATGGGAAATGGAACTCGTCTCACATTTTGGGATCAAGCAGGTGATTAGTCTACAGCTAAAAAGAAGTTTCTGGGGAATTCATCTGTTTCTCTCTCTCTTTTCTTTTTTAGAAGAGAGATATCACCGTGGTAAGCAATGCAGGTTTGATAGCAACACCAGCTCAGACGGTAATTCCACAGGACGTACCGGTACCTCAGTCACATCTTTGTCATGTTCGAAGCTGCTGTCAGTATCAAAATTCCTAGAAGTGCCACCCTAAGTAACATGAAATATATAACATAAAGGACATTCAATAGAAACTAATCATTAGTTATATATAACACGAAGAACATTCAATAAATGCTGATTATTAGTTATATATAAAAATTCAGTTCCTTTTCTTTTATGTTTTCATTATTTATTCCCAGTACAAAGTATCAAAATAATACCTTGGGCATTAAAAATTTTGTGTAGTTATCTAAACAGAAGGTACAGTTATGCTCTCCAGAAATACTCCTTTAAACAAAATATAAAGGTATATTTCATGCTAATGGAGAATGTTTTAGAATATTCTTGTGTAGATTTAAACTGGTGCTATTATAAATTATGTGTGTGTGTGAGTGTTTGTGTATGTTTGTGACTGTGTTTGCCAGTGTTGTGGTGGTAAGTGATAAATGTATAATAATATGTTGTAAATACATTCTTTAATAACAATTTGTGGTGACATTTGCTCACTAATAATGGATTGAAAAATAATGGCAAGCAGCCTTTGAAGGAATTAATTAGATTAATCAATTCAATGTCATCAACATCATTAACATTAATTTCTGTTTTGGGGCAAAAAAAGAAAAGTATAACTTCTAATAATTGTTCAAGGAAAATGACTCAAAATTTCTTCTTTCACAGAGGAAAGGCTAGCAGAAGACTCACCAGAAAGGTTCTGAAGATACAAACAAAGAGCCTGAAATGTTGGAAACTTTAGGGTCAAGCATTGGTATTAGAGCCTTGGAAAGAGAATAGAGTTGTCAGTCAATTTACATTACACTGGAAACTATAATAAATTGGGCAAATGCAATGCAAAGAAAACTGCTGACAGCAGATATGTTCCTAAAATGTATGTAGAATGATGTAGTTGTTAATTTAATTAGTTGCTTAAAGCCAGACAATTTCTTTCCAAAAATTCTGGCCTGTCAAAAGTTAACGATCATCTTTCTTAATCTAGCAAATTAAATATGACACTGAATGACTTTAAATAACACTGACACTTCCATAGGAATGTTGATATGAAGCATGGTATTTAATTTTTTATGTAAAATATGAATGCACAGAAAGACATGAATGATGCATAGTATGAAAACATGATTCAAAAATAAAAATATGACTGGTGAAATAAAAACTTTAGAGAAATGTCACTAAGTTGATTGTCATAGATTGTTTCAATATGCTTAGCCTAGGAGTAAGTTTTCTATTTCTGCAGGATGAGAAAAATTTTAAATGATATTAAAAAATCTAGAACTACCTATTGAGTGTCCTCTAGATAATCCAAACAAAAGATCAATGAGAAATTAAAGAGGTCCTGCAATTCCTGCTGCTAGCATAGTCTTTTACTTCTCACTTTTAGCTAATACACAGGCTTTTCTACCTCTCTTCCCCCTCCAAAAATATCCTGGAATCCAGCTTCATCAGAATTGCTTATCATTGCCCAACCATGTTATAATCTCAATTGTCTTGATATCATGTGTCTTTTGCTTTGCTCATCTTTTGTGTGTATGTGTATGTATGTCTGGTCTGCCTTTGATTTTTCCAGTCTATTTATTTTATTGAATTATAACACAGGCACACAGAGGTACTAACAGCATTAACATACAGCTCCATGAATTATCACAGTGATCACACTCTTGCAACCACCAATTTTATCAAGAAATATGGTTTATCCAGCACACCAGATGCTCATGTATGCCCTCTCTAAGCAACTCTCCACCCAAAGGTACACATTACCCTGATTTCTACCACCATACCTGTTTTAAATGTCATGTAAATAGAATCATACAGTATGTATTGTTTTGGGCCTGGATTCTTTTGATAGATGGATATTTTTGTTAACTTTCATTTATGCATATTACTCCATTGTATAGATGTACCATGATTTATTGATTCACTTTAATATTTATGGACATTGGGTTTTGTCCATTTTTGAGATATAAATACAGCTTCTCGGAGCATATATGTATGTATATGTCTTTTAGTGAACATATTAAAAGGAGAGGTGTAAACCTAGGTGGAAATTATTGGTTCACTTACCAAGTTCAATAATCCTTTTGTCTGCTGCCTAATCTGCTACTAATCACATCTAGTATATTTTCAGCTTAGTAACTGTAGTTTTCATACTACAGTAGTCTGGGTTTGGTCTTAAAAAAAAACTTCCATGTATCTCTTTATCTTTTGAACAGAATAAATTACATAATTATATAGTTACAGTTATAACAACTGTATTTCTTCTGTTTAAAAGATAAAGAGATACCTGGAAGTTCTGTATTTCTTCTGTTCAAAAGATAACAAGATACGTGGAATTTTTTGTGTACTAATTATAACATCCATATCAGCTCTGGGCTGGATTCATTAAATTGATTTTTATTTTTCTTAAGGTCATACTTCCTCCTTCTTTCATGCCTGGTAATCTTTCATGGAATTCCAGATATTGCAAATTTCAGTTTTTTGGTTGGTGATTTTCTTTTTCATGATCTTTATTCTGGATACATTAAGTAACTTGGAAAATGTGATCATTCAGGGTCTTGTGTTTGGTGGAACCAAAGGGCTCATTATTCTCCACAATTAAGGCGAGACCCATCTGAAATCTCCGTCTACTACCGCTTGAATTACGAGGTTTGTCAGTCTAATTGGTAAAAACAGACACTATTTCCAGCCCTGTGTGAACACTGAGTACCATTCTCTCTAATGCTTTCAGATGGTCTTTTCTCAGCCTCAGGAGGTTTCCTTACATGCATGTGCTCATCAATACTCTGCTAAATCGTTATGTACTCAGAAGCAGGGGAAAGGTGATATTTTCCATATGTTCCAGGTTGTCAGCCTGTACGTAAGTTTTCTATCTTATTCACTTTTGGATATGAATTAAAAATAGGATCATATAGTACAAACACCTTTAAAATTTGCCTCCATAAATTTGCATAGTATATATCACAATTCAGTTTTAGCTTTTCCCCCGTAATATACAACATCAAAATATTTATCTGTGTGTTTACTATTTTAGTAATTATTGGATTAAGCGACAATGTAGTACATGAGCAAAGAAACAGAGGATTTAAATAATCGACAAATTTATTTAAAGGGAAGTTTATATTATTTTGTGTGTTGTAATTAAAGAACATACATAGTTCTTATATCCATGAAAATTTACAAAAGTCAGTCTGTTATTTGGCAATGGAATGGTTATGATCTCATAATAAAATTAGAAATTGAAAACAAATAATTGTCAAAGATACAATAATTTCAAAGCCAGCATACAATCTACTGAATTACTCCTGGAATAATGAGCACCTGTAATATAAAATTATAAAATAAAACATAAAGCTTTATATAAAAACTTATGCTTAGTAATGAATCAGAACTATATATACCTTGTTTTATAGCTGTATATTCTAAAATAGTTATCAGAAAAGAAATCAAAGTTAGAATATTTATTTTTGTTGTTCTAATAATAGTGAAAAGATGTGGAAAATCCATAAGTCCAACAGTTGTAGACTGCTTAAATAGATTGTTTTATATGTAAACACTAACATTAAAATAATAGGTAACAAGGCAATTGTTAAAAATAATAGTTTTTATCTGAACATATCAACTTGGTACAATTTTCACATCATATCGACAGCAGGTGAAAAGAATATAAAATATTCATATTAAAATCCCATTGTAAACAAAATTGCAAGGATTTTTACATATGCATATGTGTGTATGTGTGTGCAAAGAAAGATATGTATAAGAATACTCATTAAAAATTAGGCAATTAGTAGCTTACAAAAATAATTTTAATTATTCCTCATATATTTTGTTACATTGAATCTTTATGAAAGGCATAAATTGTTTCTATAATCAAAGAAACCAGTATTAGTTTAATTAAATAAAAAAACTCAAATTTGTTTTCAATAGATATAAAATCATTTAAGTATCTCTATGTTATTAGTAAATATATATTTAAATATATTTTGTTCATGTATTTTATTTAGTATGTTAACAAATACATTTAAACAGAACAAAATATATTTTTGTGCATGTTTTGTAATTGGATGTTATTCACAATGTGTGAGAGAATGCATAATTATAATTTTTTACTGGTAATATTTACTTAGCAAACTTTTCTCTCAT